>NC_000023.11:32438201-32588558 GCF_000001405.40 Homo sapiens | reverse complement strand
CAAGGTATTTGATTACCTGACTCCTACCAGTCTCTATAGACTTGTCTCATGTTATCTGCTTTATGTCCCTCAACCTGCATTTGATTCATACAAGCTGTTTCTGATACCCTGTATGTTACGACCTCTTTGCACATACCACCGGGTTTAAACAGACGACTCTGCTTCATAAGATCTGCTTTGATAATTTCATCTATGTATAGAAAACTCATTTCAAGTTTTCCTCCATGAAATTGGCCACTCTACCTAGTGATGACTACTCCCTCTTTGTGCCATGTCTGTACCCTAATTGTGTCTGTTTGGGCACCGATCATATACTTTTGCAGTTAATATTAATGTGCTTTACTCTTTTATTAGAATCTAAATTACATGAGATGTGTCTTACACATTCTTGCCTGCATTGTCAGATACAAGTAATCAGTAATTCTTGTAAGATAACTGAATGAACCTATGAACAGACGGTTGGATATAATTCCAAGAAAGATTTTTTTGACTTAAAAGGGAGAGCTTTTTGTTGTAAGGTAATTAAGAGGAGAAACTCTAGAAATAGACCCTTCCTGCTCTGTTCCTTATCTACAGTATACCTTTGGGCAAGTCACTTAACCATCCTTGGCTTTAGTTTCCCCATCTTTAATATGAAGATTGTATTAGAACCTACATTATCAGATATCTGTAAAGGGTAAAAGGGTAGTTGAGAAGCTAAAGCATTTAAAAATCACTGAAATATAGTAAGCAATAATAATATTAGTTACTATTATTATCATCATCAGCCCAGAGCATTCTTACAATGCGATAAGAGCTGTGGAAAGTGGTGAGCTGTTCTTCATTAATAATATTTAACACAAACTGGAATCTCATGTTCAAGTATGTTTTAAAAGAGGTGACATACTGAGTGGGAAGTTAGACTTGATAGCCTCCAATGTCCCTTCCAATACAGGTGGAGTGCAAGAAAATAAAAGGAAATACTGCCCAATCTTATCTAGTAGAAGCATAATTCTCCCTCATTCTGTAGAGAACTTCAGCTTTAAAAAGCATGATTCTCAAAATTACTTTCATAAGAAAAAACAATCTGAATATAATGGCAAAATATAAAGAAGTCAAATACTACATTCTGCCAATTATTTTGACCAACAGTGATAATTTTTAAAGGTGACAAATCTGGATAAGTAGACAATAAGAATGACAGACATTTAATGGTAACATCTCTTTGGACATTGCTGTTAGTGTCGTTAATAGTTTTAACTTGTGTAACATGAGTATCACACAGGTTACAAAGGGAATGTGCTATATCTCAGTTACAAAGAGAATGTTAAAATAACAAAGCCACTTGGAAAGAAAATGCTATACTGTGAAAGGTAGTTGTTCAGAAAGACGATAAAGTCAGATTTTTCTCTCATCACCTAAATGTCAGTTAGGTAACTGAAATTTTTATAGTACATATCTTCGGGATAGTATGAGAAAGAAAATTTTATAGAATGTTAGACCCTATCAAATTAAGAAATAGAAGTTATTTATGAAGAGGAATATGGTTGAAACATTTTGATGTTTCGCTCTAGTTCCTAATTTTATATTTGGTGAATTAAATGCATTTAAAAAAAACTTTAAATGTGATGGAAATAATCCACAAAGCTAAGCATCAACATTTGTTGCCCAAGAAGCAATAATTATAATTATTAGATTATTATTTTTCAGGAGTTTTACATGCTTTGTATGTAATGCCAACCCTATATCACAAATGAGAAAGCCAATGCATAATGAAGTTAAATCCAAGTTCATATAGCTTGCAGGTGGCAAGGCTGACACTGGTATTCAGATGTGTGACAACTCAACCTGAGATTTCTCCCAATCTCTCAAATTCATAGTAGAAATTTGCTATGTGGCCTTGTGAAAATTATGTGATTTTTTTCAGTTTTGGTTTACTAATCAGCAACGGGGGAATACAGAAACCTATGTAACACAGTAATGTATTCGTACCTGTAAATTTAACTCATTCATGCAAATACTATCTATCTGTATAAAATGCAATATCTATTCATATATATATGAATAGATATAGCATTTGCATGAATGAGTTAAATTTACAAGTACAAATATATATAATATAAACATATATATTTATTTATTTTAGCACCTGTCCCACTCAATTGCATTAGTACATAAATATTTTTCTCTTCTAGAACAACACTGTTCTAGAAGAGAATGGTTTATATATGTATATAGTTTATATAAGCAGTATATATATATTAACACCTGTCACACTCGATTGCATTAGTATATAAAATTTTTTTCTTTTCTAGAACGACACTGTTCAGTAAGGAAGTTGCTATACACCTTTGGCTATTTTGAGCACTTGAATTGTGACTGGTATGCTTGAGGAACTGGATTTTTTATTTTATTTACTTAAATATAAAATGGCACATGATTCAGTTATTAGAAAACTTTTGAGTATGTTTTGATCAGCTTTGATATGTGCATTGTTTTTTCAACTGCACATTGTATCAAGTATAAATAAATGTTGAATATTCTAATGAAATTTGAACATCCAAAGCCAATGTGCTGTAAGTATACAGTTAACGCTAGATTTCAATTTATGTTAATACACGGTCTGTTGTAATACATTTGGCCAATAGGGTGTTAGGTAGATTTGAAAGAACACAATGTCTGGATTACTCAATCTGTTTTCTATTCTGACTTTATAATTTATGAGTTGAACAATAAATTCTCTCATGATAAAAATTATCAAATGAAACTCAAAGATAACAGTGATCATAATACCCACCATACAAAATTACAGGGGAAATATAAGCAAGTATGCTGGAACAATAATATTCTTTTTTTTTTTTTTTTTTTTTTTTTTTTTTTGAGACGGAGTCCTGCTCTGTCACCCAGGCTGGAGTGCAGTGGCGCGATCTCGGCTCACTGTAAGCTCTGCCTCCCGGGTTCATGCCATTCTCCTACCTCAGACTCCCGAGTAGCTGGGACTGCAGGCGCCTGCCACCACGCCTGGCTAATTTTTTGTATTTTCTGTAGAGATGGGTTTCACTGTGTTAGCCAGGTTGGTCTTGATCTCCTGACCTCGTGATCCGCCAGCCTCGGCCTCCCAAAGTGCTGGGATTACAGGCGTGAGCCACCACGCCCGGCCACCCGGCCAATAATATTCTTTATGAATGCAAGTGTTAATACATTTACAAAAAATTTTTAAGTTTATTGATACATAATATTTGTACATACTTATAGAGTACATGTGATATTTTGTTACACTGTTGTATATAATTATATAGTCTTCCTACTCTGCTATCGAACATTAGAACTTATTCCTTCTATCTAAGCGTATGTACCCATTAAACAACCTCTCTTCATTCCATCCACACACTCTTCCCAGTCTCCAGTATCTATCATTCTAATCTCTAGCTCTATGAGATCCAATTTTTTAGCTCCCACATGTGAATGAGAACATGTGGTATTTGTCTTTCTGTGCCTGCTTATTTAACATAATGACCTCCAGTTCCATTTATGTTGTTGCAAATAGCTATATTTCATTCCTTTTTATGGCCAAATAACATTGCATTATGTATATATAACCTGTTATCTGTTTATCTGTTGATGGTTCTGAAAAAAAAATGCAAACTTTATGGTACTTTTTAAATTGAAGTATCAAGCAAAGGACATAAGTTATAATTATAGCTTAAAGACTTATTACAGAAGTAACATACTATGATTCCACATCCAGAAAAAGATAGTATGTTACCAGCAACCAGGAAACCTCCATCAAGCCCTATGGTATCATAAACTCTTCCCATCTCCTCAAAGGTAACATGTATCTTGAGTTATAATGCTGCAGGTTAGTCTTGCTATATTTTTAACTTGATGTAAATGAAACTTTTATATATGCAGTTTTTTAACTGGCTTTTTTCACTGGATACTATATTTGTGAGATTCACTATGTTGCATATAGCATTACTTTATTAATTTTCATCGCTGGATAGAATTACTTTGTATGAATATACCACATTTTACATATTCTGTTCAGAAAATTGGGGTTGTTTCCAGTTCGGAAGCATTACAAATAATTCATCTATCAACATAAATTGTACGTATATTTTTGTGTATATATGTAAACTTTTGTATTAGGTATTTACCTAAGAATAGCATTTCTTAATCATTGGGTATATGCATATTTAGCTTTCAAGATATTAACAAAGGGTTTTCCAAAGTTGTATAAATTCATATTCTCACCAGTAGTAAATGAAAGTACAAACTGCTTCATATCTTCTTGAATACTTGTTTGTTAAACTTTTTAATTTGAGCCTTTCTGGTGACTTTATAATGTCATCTCTCATTTTTCATTTGTATATACTGATGACCAGTGAGGCGGAATACTATTTCAGTTGTTATTGGCCATTTAAATGAACTCTTCTCTGAAATGCCTGTTTTTCTACTGGATTTTCTATATTTCTCTTACTGATTTATTTTAGTTTAAAATATATATATTCTGGGTATTCTTTGCTGTTTATATTACATTTTTCTTTTTGAATGGGTACCTTGCCTTTTCACTCCGTAATGATATATCTCTTCATAAACAGAAGTTTAAATTTAACATAGTTCACTTCAATATTTTCTGTTATGTTTAGTGTACTTTTGTCCTCAGTTTAAAAATAAAACTCTCTACTTTAAAATTCTGAAGCTATGGTCCTGGGTTGCTATATAGGAACTGTTTGTTTTACCTTTCGTATTACAATCCACCTATTATTACAGGTATGAGGAAGGGATGAATGTCCATTTTTTCCCATATAGATCCAACTGAAACAACAAGTTGGCACTGTAGAATATTGAGGAAAAGATGGTCTTATTGCAAAGATTTTCAATAAGACCATCCTTTCCTCAATATTCTGTGGTGTCATCTTTGACGAAAATATTAGAAATAAAATGCCTATACGTGCATGGATCAGTTTATGGACTCTAATCAGTTTTATTTCTCTACTTGCCTGTCCTCATGCTAATTCCACATTGTTTTAATTACTATAGCATTATGACAAGTTTTAATATATGGTAATATTTTTTTGAGATGGAGTTTCGCTGTTTCTACCCAGGCTGGAGTGCAGTGGCAAGATCTCAGCTCAATGCAACATCCGCCTCCCTGGTTCAAGCAATTCTCCTGCCTCAACCTCCTGAATAGCTGGGTTTGCAGGTGCCCACCATCATGCCTGGCTAATTTTTTTTGTATTTTGAGTAGAGACAGGGTTTCACCATGTTGGTCAGGTTGGTCTTGAACTCCTGACCTCAGGTGATCTGCCAGCCTCGGCCTGCCGAAGTGTTGGGATTGCAGGCGTGAGCTACCAGGCCCAGCCTGTATCTGGTAATATTGTAAAAGAAAAAATGCACCAGACAAACAGGCAAGAAAGACTTTATTCAAGACTACTGAATTATGGATCAAGACTATTGCCATAGGAGAGAGAGATGGAAATCATTTCTACTGAAAGAAAGACAGGAGAGAATTTAAGCACTGAGGAGAGCTAGTAGAAAAATACTGGAAGATATTAGGGGGTTAGGATGGTGATTAGGCAATCTGTGATTGTTAATTGGCACTTAATGAAGTTAGGCTCCTACTGTCCCACAGAGACTGGGAGATAGGCGTGCTATCATTAACAATTACATTTCAAAGAGATGGCTCCTAGGTCCTTGAGAAAGATATTCCCGGATTGTAGAAGATTTACATCTCAAAGAGGCAGAGAATATGTTTTTGGTTGCAAGTTTCCCTAAAGTAAGCGCTCTAAGAAAAGAGAGGTCAGGAGCCTATAGTCAAATAAAAGCCTGTCTAGAGTTTAGTCACATTAAGTTTGTTTTGGTCAGTTGGTCAGTAAAAGCCATTTTATTTTCTTCCTTTTTAAAGATTATCTTGACTGCTTTTGGCCATTTCGATCTCCATATGAATTTTAAGAACAGCTTGTGAACCCTGCCCCCAAAAAGAATCTGCTGTGGTTTTAATTGGATTTCATCTATTCTCTGGATCAACTTGTACAGAATCAACATTTTTATTATGTAAAGTCTTTCAATCCTTTCATTTAGTTAGGTCTTTATTTTCTCTCAATAATGTTTTATAGTTTTTAAAGTAAAGGCTCTTAAACTTTCTCTGAGATTTATTTCTTGGGTTTTTATATTTTTGCTGTTATGAATATATTTTTGAAATTTCATTTTCTATTTGTGCTGATATAAAGAAATACAGTTGATTTTTTTTCTTGGTCTTGTATCCAGGTACCATGCTACATTTACTTAATAATTTGAATACATTATCTGTAGTATTATTCAGATGTACATATATAGGTTGTTTTTGAGTAATGACAGTTTTCTTTCTCCCTTTCCAATTATTTTTCATGTCATTAATTTTCCCTGACATATTGTACTGTATAAATACTCTAGTACAATGGGAGTATTGTGGATATTTATTTCTCATTTTAAGTCTCAGAGGGAAGAACTTTAATAAATAATCATTAAGTATGATCTTTCCTGTAGGTTTGTTGTAGATACCTTCTGTTCTTAATATTCTAAGAGGTTTTATCACTACCGGATGCCAAATTTTATCATATATTTTTCCAGAATCATTTGAGATGGTCGTATTTTTCTTCTTTATTCTGCTATATGTCAAATCACATGACTTAGTTTTCTAATGCTAAAAAAGCCTTTCTTCCTGTAATAAACTAAACCTGGATAAGACGTATAATCTTTTTTGTGTATTGCTAGATTTTCTTTGATTCATAGTTTTTCCTTTACGTCCATGAAAGTGATTGGCCTGTTATTTTCCTTTCTTGTAATATGCTTGCTAGGTTTAAGTACCTGATTATGCAGGCTTGGTAACTGGCTTCATAACTGGAATTTGCAAATGGGAAATTTTAAAATTAAATTTTTATGTATTTAATACACATAAAAATGTCCATTTTTAATTGGAATTTCAACATTACATTTTTCCAGATTTTCCGTTTTGGAGTCAGCTCGAATCATTTGTGTCTTTCTAGGAATTGGTCTATTGCATCTAAAATTACAGATGTATTTAGATAAAGTTCTATTTAGTCCCTATGGTATTTAATAGTAGTTTATTAGCTACCATTGTTTGAAATTGAAAAAAATGTGACATGAACTAAGAATTTCTAACCTCTCTAGAGAAAGCAAATGATCTGATGATCCTTAGTCTGTTTTTCTACATAGTAACCAGAGCAGGAGTCAAGTTGCCCTGTTTTCTCTAGCACAGGCTCTTCATTTAGCCACAGTCCCCATTACTACCTATTCTGTTACACCTACATTATCTTATGCATTTTATTAGGTATGTACGTTAGAATTTGTGATTTCTTGTGGATGAAAAGTTGTGATGTCAAGAGTTGGCATGAGACATAGAGGGATATTTATCTTCTATGCACTTGCTTTCAAATAAGATACCTTTTGGAGCCCGTGCTCAGTGGCTCACGCCTGCAATCCCAGCACTTTGCGAGGCCGAGGCGGGCAGATCACTTGAGGTCAGGAGTTTGAGATGAGACCAGCCAACATGGTGAAACCCCATCTCTACTAAAATACAAAAAAGAGCCAGGTGTGGTGTCTCACACCTGTAATCCCAGCTACTTGGGAAACTGAGGCACAAGAATCCCTTGAACTTGGGTGGTGGAGGTTGCAGTGAGCCGAGATCGCGCCACTGCTCTCCAGCCTAGGGGACAGAGAAAGACTCTGTCTCAAAGAAAAAGAAAAAAAGGATACCTATTGGAATATGGCCCTGTTGTTTAAAATTGTAAAGGTAAAAATTTTCAATTCTTGTATAAAACATAAGCTTTATCAAGTATAGAAAAAAATGCAAAAAAAATTATCATTAATTGTCCTTCTAAAATGTTTCACTGTGTTCTATATTAAAATTCTATCATGCTCCAGATTTATCACATCTGGAATAAAGGCTGATTTTTTTATCGACTGAGCTCTAAATCCTTACTATCACAAGCATCTCAATAATTCATCACAGATTTAAGAGCACTTTCACATTTATTGATCTATCTGACCCTAGCAGTTACCTGTCTAGGAGAGTCTGTACTATTATCTCTATTTCACTGGTGAGAAAACTAAAGCACAGCAAGATTGAGTTTGTTCACAGATATTACAAAGTTGGGCAACAGTAGAACTGAAGTGGGAATGCAGGAAGTTTATACTTTATGTAATGATTAGCAGATTGAAAGATCCAAAAAAGATGGTTCTAAGACAAAAGTTGGGTGGGGAAAGCCACCTATTGATAACGACAGTAGTAGTATTCAGTTTTGGGATATTTGTGCAAGACATTAACCTCAAAGGTAAGGAGCCCACCTCAAGGAGCTCAGAGTCTGCGAGGTATAAAACGATAAGGAAGAGGAAACCTCAAGCTACCAAGGAATGCCTGGGAATGTGATGAATGCTGGAAGGAACACTGTTACGCTGGAATGCTCCTTAGAACTCCTGCTCTTTATTTTCTGGTATCCCAATTGAACAGACTGGTGGGAGCTGGAGAGTACAGAGTTTATTAAGCTGCCAAAAAAAAAAAAAAAAGACATTAAATAATATCCTGCAAAGAATAACAGCAGTGACAACAACAAAAGGCTTTTCCAGATTTATTCATTAGCACTTTGTATACTCACACAAATAAATAATATAGGAAACTGACTGAAATAGCGTAGAGAAGAACATGCTTCTTCGTGTTAAAATCTCACTACACTTTCAGCACAATTGCAAAGGCAGAATTTAATGAACAAATCAGTCATACTTACCTTTTAAAAATAAGTCCTGCAAAGGCCACATGTTCTTAATCTGGAAGTGCAAGTATTTGCTGACGTTTTATGATTAAACAAATACAGAGTTACAGTGTCAAATGTTTTTGAATCAAATTATAACATTAAGCTTCACATCCTTGTGAAGCAGATTAGATTAAATGTTAAATCTAGTCAAACTTCTGCTAAAACAAAATATGAAAAGACTCCAAAGGGATTCGGCATCTGGATATCTCACTGTAGGTTGTGTAGCACAAATTAGAAGGCATATCTTTTATAATGAATGCCCTACTGAATGAATACCATTATGAACGAGCATGAACTTGTAGCCAAATGGATCTGAGGTCAAATCCCAGACACTCAGTACTGTGGCTTCTGTGACCTCAGACAAGTTACTTAACCTATCTGTCAGTTTCCTCATCTGTAACCTGCCCCTTTGGAAGTGACAGCTAAAAATTCCTTGAGTTCAGACAGGAGATTATTACAGGATCATTTAAATAGAAGTAAGAATTATACTTTTGAAAAAACTTCCAGTAGTTGTTTCATAACTCATCAAAATAGGTTTATCCGCCCTGTACCATATGTTATACAGTGAAGATATAAGGTACACCATTTTATAGTATGGTGCTTCAGTTCAGTTTGTAGAAATGTGTAAAACTGAGAACCAAGCCATACCCTTGGCTAAACACTATTCAGTAGGACTCTGCCACATTTCTGCCTCATAATGGATTTTTGTTTTTTTCAATGGTTTTTGATGTGATTTCCATTTCAACATCAGTAAGAGTAAGTTGCTTATACGTTTTAACTGCATAGTTGTTGATAAAGTAAGAGAAAAATCAAGAAATAAGGGATTTTCAGAGGGCTCATTACACATAAAATTCATTTAGCAGAGAAGTGTATTATAGGGTCTTAACCTGCAATAAAATAAGATGGGTTGTTTTCTGCCTCCCTCTTTCATAAAGCCCCGTTGCTGATGCATTGTGTGGTCCATGGCACATAATTGTTTCCGCCTTAGTGGATATACGCCTGGGAACACTCTATCTCTTAACGCCAATACTGATGGGCACAGTTTAGGTTTCATATTCTATCCCTGGCTCCAGTAAATTCAAGGGTCACCATACTTAAGATTTACCTCCCAGGCTTGTCAGATTTTCCTCAGTTACCTTTATCCAAATGTTCTTTTAGTAGCCATTTTTCACTTTTGAATTGAAATAGCAACTCAACCAAACAAAGGAATTCAGATGAGAAATGTCCTTGGCACGTACAACAATATGACATGTGAATTAAATGGGAGGAAAAAATCCTCCCCGTTGTGGATCTGAGCATGGACGATAATGGAGTTGTGATTTAGTCCATGAAAATGTTAGACGAAGTGAGCTGACCTTTAGCTTCACTTACTGCTGAGACAAAATGAGAATATAAATAAAAATTAACTTCTTTTACCATTTTGTGAGACTTTGTAATTCATTGGTTTTACATTTATGTGTAGAATGTTTAGCTCTATAAAAATATGCATTATTGCTAAAAGCTCAAGGGATTCCTATACGTAAATAGAAACTCAGAGAAACAGAGTTGAAGTTACATATTTTTTTTTTCTCTAGAGAAGAGGTTTCTAATCCTAATACAGTGGTTCTTTAAAAAATATATGTATTAGCCCCATTTTATCCAATTTCTTACACTTGTCTAACAATTTTGTTATAGCCATTCAGGCAATGATAGGAACCAGCATCTTTGAGTGATTCCAGAGCTGAGGGATATAGTCTTCCAATTGCTTTGCTTCATTCTTTGTAATTCAAATTAAGGCCAATATTGCTAAGCAATAAATAGGTAAATCCATAAATTTAAAGCACTTCGTGTATTATCTATTTATACTTGTGCATATGGCATCACAAAAATGTATGGGCAGATGTTTACAGCGTATGAGCAAGTAATTTCTAATTCACTTTTCCGCTTACACTGAGATCAGTGGAAAGCACTATGCCTGCCTTGCTACAGAAGTGACTTAGATTCAATTCATTGAGTATTTTCTAAGAGTAAGATAGGTTTAAGCAATAGAATATGTTACTAAAGGATATGTGTTCATGCTGTCTTGTGTTGGAAACCTTTAAAGAATATACTTGAAGACTAAACATTTATTCGTAAAGATTTAATGGGTGCCTTTCTACAGTGAATACAGTAAAATAGATGACCCTTGGCAGTTCTTAGATTTGATGTAAGAACCATGATCAAGCAAATTGTAAACAACGACCAACTCTTAAATAACTTGTTTCAAATTAATAATACTTTCCCATACATACTCTTGTTTAACATTTGCAATTCTTTAACGGGTTGGTATTATTATTCGACAGACATTTAGCCAAGTATTTCTTGAAAAAGAATCCATCTATCTTAATTGTCTTTTGTATTACTCCTTTGTGAGGGCTATCATTAAAAAATAACATGGACTGGTGGCTTAAACAATACAAACACTTTCTCACCATTCTGGGGGCCAGAAGTTCAAGACCAAGGTACTGGCAAGGATTGGTCTCTTGTGAGGCCTCTCTCCTTGGATTGCAGATGAATGCCTTGTTCCTGTATCCTCACGTGGTCTCTCCTCTGTGTTGCACATATCCCTGGTGTTTTGCTGTGTCCAAATTTCCTCTTCTCATAAGGATACCCATCATATTGGACTAGAGTAACCCTAATAGACTCATTGTAACTTAATGGTCTATTTATAGGCTCTATCTCCAAATATGGGCACATTCCGATGTAGTAGGTGGGGCATAGGGCTTCAACATGGATTTCATGGGACACAATTGAGCCTGTAACATCTTCTCTTAATATTTGGCATATCCAGATATTTGGTACATATTTGTTATATAATAAATTCATGATCAATGAATGAATGCATTGATGGCTGTCATTAACTGTAACCTAGATATTAGCTGAATCATAAACTTGCTCCATTATTTGGATATAAAGAACACTTTAAGTGGCATTTTTTAAATAGTTATGTTAAATAGGTTGCCTATGTACCTAAAAGAGTGTTTAATTACAGCAATCCCTCCCTCCCTCCCTCCCTCCCTCCCTCATCCATGGTTTTGCTCTCCTTGGCTTCAATTACTGGCAGTCAACCACAGTCAGAAAATATTAAATGAAAAATTCCAGAAATAAACAATTCATAAATTTTAAATTGCATGCTGTTTTGAGTAGCATAATGAAATCTTGTGCTATCCCACCTCTGTCTCACCCAGGACTGAATCACCCCTTTGTCCAGCGTCTTCATGCTGTCAATGTTACCCGCCCATTACTCAGTACCTGTCTAGGTTCTTAGAAACACTGTCATGGTATCGCAGTGCTTGTGTTCAAGTCACCCTAGTTTTACTTAGTCATGGCCCCAAAGTGCAAGAGTAGTTATGGTGGCAGTTCAAATATGCCAAAGAAAAACTGTGAAGGGTTTTCTTTATGTGAAAAGGTTCCCAACTTAATAAGGCAAGAAAAAAATCGCATGCTGGGGTTGCTCAAAATCTGTGGTAAGAGCAAGTCTATCCGTGAAATTGCGAAGAAAGAAAAATAAATTCATAAATACTATATATAGGGTTTTGTACTACCTGCAGTTTTAGGCATCCACCTGAGGATTTTGAAGCATATCCCCTATGGATAAAGGAGAACTACTCTATTAGTTTTTTGTGACTCATACAGTGAACAAAACTGCAATATTAAATGCATCCCATTAGTACATCTCAGAATTTCAATAAATTTGAAAATGTTATACAACCTGGAATAGGGGATCTTTATTTGGATTTGTATTCCCACTAAAATTAATAAATTATACATTTCCACCTATGGGGTTACAAGCTTAAAATGCTGCTTCAGTGGATACTATATGTCTTGTAGCACTAGAGAGAAGATGCTATATATACTTGAAAGTCTTTTTTGTTTATGAATATGATGCTATAGCTTGAGTTTGTCCCTTCTTCCCTTGACTGTCTTCTTCACTGGAGTTGATGGGCTACAATAAATTTCCCACATTTTGACTTTGTAGATCTGCATCATCACGTCAGGTAGATGGTGTAGTTTATACTTAAGAGATAAGATTTTCTCCATTTGAAGCTTTTTTCTCCCACAACTAATCTATTAACCATTTTGTTACGTGCCATTTTACCTGACATGCACTGACAGGGTCACTAGGAAGTTAGCTAAAAAAATGCAAGTATGTTTTAGAAAAAACCTATATATACTGCTTCGTAATAATTAGATGGTTGAAGTGACTAAATTCATTGATTTAAGCTCGCACATTTCCTGTGGGTATCTCGCATCACTGTTTGAGCGCTATGGCTTTTATTGTAAACATAATTCAAAATAAGTTGAGTAGAAAGTGAAACTACAAAAAATTAACAGTTACATTATGCTGAAAGCAATAACATTGATATTTATGAAGAAAAACTGAAAACTCACTTATGATTGAGCTGCATATAAGTACATGATTATGTTAATACTGTAGGAAAATGTTGACTGCCTTCTGTTTACCCATGCGTGTATTTTTTTTTAAGTGGTGATAGATTAAACAATTTAAGAAACGTGACTCTCCTAGTCACTTAGAAATAGGTGGATTAGGGCCAGGTGCAGTGGCTCATGCCTGTAATCCCATCACTTTGGGAGGCTGAGGCAGGTGGATCACCTGAGGTCAGGAGTTCGAGAGCAGCCTGGCCAAGATGGCGAAACCCCGTGTCTACTAAAAATACAAAAATTAGCCAGACATGGTGGTGGATGCCTGTAATCTCAGCTACTGGGGAGGCTGAGGCAGGAGAATTCCCTGAATCCAGGAGGTGGAGGTTGCAGTGAGCTGAGATAGTGCCATTGCACTCCAGCCTGGGTGACAGGAGCAAAACTCTGTCTACAAAAAAAAAAAAAATAGGTGGATTATTTTCATGATGCTAATTTCATTTGCATTGTTTAAATCATGTGTTAATATCCTCTAGGTGGGTTAATACACATATGTAGTATAAAGTAACATAGAAATTATGAGACCTTAGACACTGAGTAGATTTTTCAAAAATATGAGTTATAAACATTTTTCTAACTCTAATTCTATATAAAATAAAGCACGTCAATATTTTATGATTTCTAGCTTTAAAGGTCCAATATATATATGAGAAAATAAGTTTCTTATTTATATGAAAAAGTTACAAAAAGTTGAAAATTCAGGCTATAAAGTGCATCATAATGAGGTTGAGCTAACTGCCATTTTGAAATGCTTCCTTTGCATAGAAAGCATCACAATATTTGTTTTCCTTCCAAAAATCATTGATAGTTGGTTTATGTTACATATTAAAATAGTGTGTGTTCTTAGACATTAGTGACATGTTAATGATATAGTAGTTTTTACTCAGAGATTGTTAGTTTTCTCACTAGAGTAGTTTAGAAACAGAAAATTTTAATACTTTTGTAATAATTGAGAAAATTGAAAAATCTACATAGTAATAGAATTTAAGTTACTAAGAATTTTCTTCTACAATCCAAATGGTAGGCAATTCTCATTATGCAAGATTGTTTCAATTAAGAGTCTTTTGAGGCATTCTATTTAGTAGTTAGACTTTTATTCTTTAGGGTGTATTTTCAAACCTAAGGAAAATACACCTTTTACTTGTTCTCACTGCAAAATCCTCTCTATATGTATGTCTTTGTTATCTTACATTTGCTATGGAGCCATTTTATATAGTGGTATAATAACCACTTCATATTGCTTGTCTCTTTGCTTTTCTATGAAAGGTACAAGACTTGGTGAGATAAAGACAAATGACAGTCACACCACTTATTTAAATGTAAGCAGATCAGAAAGAGTGTCCCTTCCAACTTCTAGCGTACATAGGAGACTGAGATACTTTGGCAAATTATTCATGCCATTTTTAATAAAACGTAGTTACCAATTGTTTGCTGATGCTGTGCTTGATTGTCTCTTCTCCAGGTATTGGGAGATCGATGGGCAAACATCTGTAGATGGACAGAAGACCGCTGGGTTCTTTTACAAGACATCCTTCTCAAATGGCAACGTCTTACTGAAGAACAGGTGTGTCATGTGTGAGAAACTAGCTGTAAAAGACACGGGGGGATATTAAATTGGAAAAGTAAAGATTTATGTTTATTTATTCCTTGGAATTCTTTAATGTCTTGCAGTGCCTTTTTAGTGCATGGCTTTCAGAAAAAGAAGATGCAGTGAACAAGATTCACACAACTGGCTTTAAAGATCAAAATGAAATGTTATCAAGTCTTCAAAAACTGGCCGTATGTACTTTCTAGCTTTCAATGGTCTTATAAAAACCCAGTACTGTATATTATCACTATTATTTAGTCTCTTCTATGCTATTGAATATTAAATGTTTATTTTTGCTTGGATCATAGATTATTCAAAGATGTTATATTGCTACTTTTCTGAATTAAAGTGGGAAAAAACTATAGGTGGATTTTCAACTTTGTTTTTCAAAGTTGTACTCTTGATAAAACATAGCATACCAGAATAAGACTTCAATTAAAATTAATAAAGTAATACTAAGAAATGTCTGTGAGCCTTTCATAAAGTTCTAAGCAGCATAGTTCTAAAAAAATAGACTGACGTTGATTCTCAGAATAATATGTGAGAGTTACAAGCGACGGTTATCCTGACATTGATGGAGTTTAACCTTAGTTTATTATAAAGGGGTACCTGAGACTGGGACTGGGTAACTTATGAAATAAAGAGGTTTAACTGGCTCATGGTTCTGCAGGCTGTACAAGAAGCATGACACCAGCATCTGCTCCTGGTAAGTGCCTCAGGAAGCTTACAATCATGGCAGAAGGAGAAGGGGAGCCAGTGTATATCACATTGCAAGAGTGGAAACAAAAGAGATAAGAGGAAGGTCCCAGACTCTTTTAAACAACCAGATTTCATGTGAACTAACTGAATGGGAACTGACTCATCATGAAAGGGATTGTGCTAAGCCATTCATGAGACATCCGCCCTCATGAGCCAATCACCTCCCACCAGGCCCTACCTCCAATGCTGGGAATCACATTTCAACATGAGATTTGGAGAACAGAGATCCAAACAATATCACCTAGTTTTTCAAGCAAAAAAAAATTAAAGCCTATCAAATGACATTGATTATAAATACCTCGAGTGTTTTGAGAATGAGATTTCTTTGGCAATAAATGGATTTCAGAAAAGACTTCATTGAAGCATTTGGTTTCAGCAGGAATTTCCAAGATTTAAAAAAAAAAAAAAAAACTCTAAAGTTTCTCTTACTCTGTGAATTTTATCATTTCTAGTAAAAGAGGCCGGTCTGATACTATGAGTTTAATTTTTCACGTGACATATTCTACTTTATGATTTCTTAAAATTTTTGATAGATTTGATTAAATGTTCATTTGATATGAACTTTTATAAAACAAAATGGTTGTAAGTAGTGTTCCATAATTTCACCTTTATTATTGCATTGTACTTCATAATAATGCAATAATTTCTAAACTTAAGTAAATTTTTCCACTCATTTTAAATACGTACCATTTTACCAGCTATTTATTTGTTTCATACATTTTTTTTGCTCCATAAATGCTAACCCTCATTGGTCTTTTAATTTAAAATAGATTCACTTATGTATTACTTGTTATTACAAGCTAGCTTATTATTGATAAGAAATTATTGCTCAAAGAATATGGACTTTATTAAGTGATGTGACTGCCGAAAATAGAGTTCAGAAAAGTAACCTGTATATGTTTGAAAACACGAGTGCAAAAATATCAGCTGTATTTGTAGTTTTGGCCTGCAGCTGATGGGGAGCCATTGAGAGTTTGCAAAAGAATCATATTTGCATTTTTGTAATTCTTTTTGGTAGGAAGATGTTTGATGGTACGAGGACTAATCAGAAGACCTGAACTAAGTAGCATTGGGCATTAAGATAAGAAGAGAAACATTAGAATGTTAAGATGTGATGAATGAAACTTGTGATAAGAGGCAGAAGTTTGAAATGGTTCCTAGACATTTCATTTGGGTGACTGGGTTCCTAGGAGGGTTATTAGCCCTAACAGGAGAATAGAAGAGGAATTGCTGGAATGACAAAAATGATAATTATTTCAGATTTGGATATATTCCGTGTAAAATGTCTTTGAGACATCCAAGTTAAAAATCCTTTCCATTAATCAGTTGGTTTACACAACTAGAATCTCAGAAAATGGTTCATGACTAGTTATTGATTCAGAAGCAATCAAAATGCTTCTGAGGGATTGTGTAGAGTGACACATTAAGTGAAACGAATAGATTTCAGGGAGGAATGTCTACAATCAAGGAGTAGGCAGAGGATAAGATGTTGACCAAAAGATTGAGCAGATACCACAAGGGGAAAGTGGTATCACAAAAGTGAGGAGAATAAAGATTTCAAAAAAGTAGGAAGTGGTACACACTGTCACATGCCACAGAGAGGAGAGGATAAATTCATGAGGGATTCTATCATATCTAGAGGAATGGATGCATGGATTACATCTCCTTAAAGCAGAATATTCCTTACAAACATTGTTCTTCTCAGGCAAAATGTGAATCCTTTCAGTAAATAAGTGAGTGACCACTGATTATCAAAATGCAGTCATGCCCTCTGATTAGGAGCGAAGATATATTGCTAGTTAAATACAGAATCATGTGCTTCAGACGGTCAATCATAATGGTGATGGTCAGTCATATTCTGTGTGCTGAAAAAGTCACAAGCCTGCCCAGATTCAAGGAAAAGGGAATTAGATTTCATTTCCTCATGGAGAAACACCAAGGTCAAGTTATAGCAAAGCATCTGAGATGAGGATATTTTACAGCCATCTTTGGAAAGTACCACATGCCAGAATAGTACAGTTATTTTACATGATGATAAATTCCAAATCTTAATATCTAGTCAAAGTTCCTGCATATATTGTTGACTAGATTTACCAATCAAGAAAGTTGTTCTTAGGAAGCCACAAACTGACAAAATCCAAATATGTTAAAGCTAGATGAGATTTTGCATCTCATCTAGTGTTTCTTCAATCTCATTACACATGTAAAGTTCATTAGGACCATCTACTCAGTTTGTTTCCAAGAGAAAATCGAGATCAAGAAAAAACACAGGATCTGTATCCTACAACATTAGTATCAGACTTAAAATGAACACTAAGACATCCAGACTCAGGTCCAGGCCTTTCAATCTATTTCAGTAGTCCTCATATCAGTTGATTCCTTGGAAAAAATAACTGCAACTGAGAACTGTCATTTCTAACAATAATGTGCCTCTATGTTAACATTTTTGTGAGCAGAAATCTTGGCTAGCCTCAGGGCCATAAAAATGCTCTTTTAAGAAAGTCAATAATTTTCCAATAGGATTAAAATTTGTGTTATGTCACCTTGCTTGTGAACAAAGAGAAAATATGTTTTCTATAGGTCTTGTCATTTGATAGTTTAAGCCAATTAACAAAACCTGACAGCTGGTCTAGAATTTGAGGTAAAATTCCTTTGCTGACTCAGGCAGTGAATAAGAATTTAATGTTCATTAAAATATGTCACAATCTGAGACCCAAAACAGGTACCATCTGTCACCAGTTTTCACTACATGTCTAGGTATAGATACACTGTGCTAAACTCTCTTCTCTTTACAATAAGTGTAATTTGTTTCAAAATAGTATCACTGATAACCCATGGGATTGTGTCCTGCTTGCCATTGAGGTGGGAGGTGGGGATTATGACATTTAATTTGCTCTAGATCTTTGGGATTCATATCCAAATCATGTAGATCTATTATTTTTTATAATCAAAACTGATTTAAGTTTTAAACTGATTTGGCATCAGGGATAAAAATGAAGGGAAAGAAGAAACAGTAGCTTTTATGAGGTGAATTATAAGACTTGTAGAATCACGTAAATTATCGTGGGAAGATCCAAGTCAAGAAGAAACCTGTTCCTGAGTAAATGTATTTCTGCTGTGGGGACTGTTGGCGTTTGCTGGGGAAGGACAGCTCTGGGGAAGCAGGGTGATCCAAGAGATTATGGTATATAAGGGCTACAGAAGTACTTAGGAATTGAAGATATTCTCAAATGGCTGTGGGATCAAAGGACATGGATGAAGTGCTCATGGTAACTGAGCAAGTTCCTGTTTGACTTGCTACCTTTACCTCAACTCCTGGGATGGCCCTCAAATAATTAATTCAGACAGGATCAATGCTTCTCAAAATGTGTTCCCCCGACCGGCAGCATCAGTATCAAGGAAATTTGTTAGGAATGCACATTGTTAGGCCATCTTCAGACCTACTGATTTAGAAACTCTGGAAGTGGAGCCTAGTCATCTGCATTCTAACAAGCCTTTCAGGTAATTCTGATGTTCTTTCAAGATGAGAACCTCTGTAATAGATCAACCTCCCAAAGTACAACTGGTGATTAGAATGAATTGGAGCACATCTTACATGTAGATAAGTAACTACACATAATATAGGTGGAAAACTCAATTTTGCCAATATAGGAGAAATTGTCTTGGCATTATTCTCTTATGCGTATTCCTGATGAGAGTGAGGTGAAGGTTTCCTGGGCCTTTTGTAAGGATACATTATCTTTTCACTTCAAATCATCTTGAACAGCTTATCTGTCTCTTCTCCATATCCACTACTGACCCAGTCTGATTTATTGACTGTACCTTCCTCCCTACCTTGGAGGTAGGTCTACATTCCTGGCTTCTATAAAAATAAAGTCTGTTTATTCTTTTACTATCCCAGCTGGCCTTTGCCTTGTACACATTCTCTAGATCTTCCTTTTGCCACCTGAATTTTCTAGAGCTCTATGGGTCTCTGGCACTCATAGACCTATGGTTAATTATTGATATGTAGAAATACATATTTTATGCAATAATTAGTAACAAATCATAGTTATTTAATATGCACATGTAAGACCTAAGCTTAAAAGAATCAGCATCAATGGATAGACAGGACAAGGTAATTCTAATGAATTCTATGATCTAATGTATCTGGCCCCATCATGGATTTTCTTTCTTTTCCTCCCTCAGTTAATAATCCTGGGGGAGTTCTGGAACTGGGAGATGACTACTGAAAGACAGAAAAAGAGAGAGAAACTGAGACCAAACAACTAATCTGCCATCATCATTTTTGATACTCATATCTAAAATTTACTAGGTATAAGTCTGGGTTCAGTGTTTTTGTCATACAGACATATAAAAATTCATTTATTCAATAATCACACAATGTAATTATAACATTGATTTTACTTTACCTTGAGTGCACTTTTTTCCTAATTGGATTTTTTTTTTTTTCTTGAGATGGAGTCTTGCTCTGTTGCCCAGGCTGGAGTGCAGTGGTGTGATCTCGGCTCAGGGCAACCTCTGCCTCCCTGGTTCCAGCGATTCCTTGCCTCAGCTTCCTGAGTCGCTGGGACCACAGGCATGCACCAACATTCCCAGCTAATTATTGTATTTTTAGTACAGACGAGGTTTCACTATGTTGGCCAGGCTGATCTGGAACTCCTGACCTCGTGATCCGCCCGCCTCAGCCTCCCAAAGTGCTGAGATTATAGGCGTGAGCCACCACCTCTAATTTTATTTTTAATGGTGACTTTCACTTTCATTTTTGTAATGCTTACCAAATGTTTCTTCATGTGGCTTAATAATAAAACAGGAGGCTTATTTTCATTTGTTTAGGTACCATGAGGTTACTCATAGGTTTTTATTGCAATCCTCTTCTTTAAACATAATTCTCACACTCCTCTTCTGACATGTTTCCAAATCATTACATATTTTGTTTAAATAATGGGTAGACCATTCAGCCTTACACATATGGCTATTTAAAATAGTTTCTAACATTCTGAGTAAGTAAGTCAAAGAGGATTGTACTTAGATTTTTTTTTTATTTTTAGATTTGTGTCTTTGTGTATATTGTGCCTCTTTCCATAGTAAAGAAAAAAAATGACACTATAACTGGAGGAATATACATTGAAATTCAAATATGGCTCTCAGCTTGGGACAGGTAGCATCAACCTTTGTTCTAGTACTAATGCAAATATTCACTTAAATTTAATGGAAAACTAACAAGTGAATTAAACAAAATGAATATGCAAAACCTATCTATTGGGCTGGGTATGGTGGCTCATGCCTGTAATCCCAGCACTTTGGGAGGCCAAGGCGGGTGGATCACTTGAGGTCAGGAGATTGAGACCAGCCAGGCCAACATGTTGAGACTCCTGTCTCTTCTAAAAATTTAAAAATTAGCTGGGCTTAGTGGCATGTGCCTATAATACCAGCTACTCGTGAGGCTGACAGGAGAATTGCTTGAACCTGGGAGACAGAGGCTGCAGTGAGCAGAGATCATGCCACTGCACTCCAGCCTGGGCGACAGAGTTAGACTCCAACTCAAAACAAAAAAGAAAAACCACCTACCTATTGCTAAACCCCCACACCGTGAGTTTTATTTTGATTTGAATTCAGTGTATAATATCTTAATTTGTATTTTGGTCTATTGCATTCTTTCAAACTTAGAAAAATACTGAACTTATTGTTAAGGAAAAATTAGAGATGAAACTTAAATCTTGCTTTGTTTCCCCTTAAAAATGGCATGAAGACTGAACTATAACATACTCCAGGTGAAGCAGATTCTGAGTAAAAGACAAACTAATTGAAGGAGCCACTAGAGCATTCTGCAGTTCAGAGCTATCAATGCAGGTGCCATGCCAAAATGGGCTACTTAGATTGTCCTTTTCAGGAAGGTGTATTGACTGCTCTAGGTTTGGGGCACTTTGCTTCATGGGCAATTGGTGCATTTGTGTCATGACAATTTGCTCTGTGGTATGTTAGTTCTTAAATAAACTTACATTTGTTTCGGAAAGACAGGTATCGCGATTTAGTTTACATTCATTGTATTTGCTGCCAAATATGGGGTTGTTAAGTGGCTGTAAGATAATTTTCTCCTTTATTTCTCTTCCTTCTTCTCCTTTGTTTACAGATTAAGTCAGGGAGTAATGTTCAGTACCCAGGAATTGAATTTGTCTGTGTATCAGGCAAAGTTACTGAGTCAAGTAAAAGAAAAACTGCCCTGATTTACTGATTTCACATAAACCACTTATTCCTTTCAAATCAACCAAAGGGAGTTTGTAACCCTCCACAGCTCACAGGAACTTTGGAAATATAAATGGTATAAAAATTGCTTCATAAGACACATAAGTATTTATAAACTCTGAAAAGAGATGCTGAAGCATTTATGTCATGCCCAGCGACTTAGTTCTTTTACTTAATGGGCTCTACAATTAGTTTTAAAAAATAATTACTCAAATAACCAGATGTTAATTGATTAATGGATGCTACAAAAATTTTATGGTCAGTAAATCACATAATGAGATTTTATCTCCAAATAATGAACCGAATGTTAAAACTGTGGAAACAATAATATTGTAATTTTATCCAAATAATCACAGCATTTCAGAATGGCAAGTTTCCTTAGCCATTCTCATTTTCTCAGCTCACTAGCTTTTCTTCAGTACTCCTGGTACCTGATTGTCAGTTTTCGTTTGAATTCCGTCAGGAATTAAGGGGAAATCCAAGATCCGTGCCTTCTAATTTCCACATGTTGATCTCTGTTTTGCCTTTTGAAGCAATATTACCTTTTCACTTGGATTTTCTTCAAATATTTCAAGGTAGCTCTTAATTACCTCTAGTAGGTCTTTATTCTACGTTTGAGTTTCTTTTCTCTTCTTTTCTCTTCAAACTTCTTGGGATAATTAGATAGATTATAACTTTCTACCTCTATTTTTCTGAACTTTTGATCCTTTGCGGGCACGATTGAAATATTTTCTTATCTATGCAAATGAGCAAATACACGCAAAAGCAGATTGAACTATAGTGGTGTATGGAATGCAACCCAGGCTTATTCTGTGATCTTTCTTGTTTTAACAGGTTTTAAAAGCGGATCTAGAAAAGAAAAAGCAATCCATGGGCAAACTGTATTCACTCAAACAAGATCTTCTTTCAACACTGAAGAATAAGTCAGTGACCCAGAAGACGGAAGCATGGCTGGATAACTTTGCCCGGTGTTGGGATAATTTAGTCCAAAAACTTGAAAAGAGTACAGCACAGGTTAGTGATACCAATTATCATGCTACAGACTATCTCAGAGATTTTTTAAACCTGCATTAAGAGAGTGACATTATAACCCTACAAAAGAAGCAACCAGATTAGTTTTTGCCCTGTGTTTAGTTAAATAAAAACATGATTCTTTTGCCTGTCTTGTTGTTGGAGAATGGTGGTGAGGTAGAGTGCTAATTAACTGAACTTGTTACTGCCCTAGAGTGAATTTCTTCCAGCCCAATAGTAACGGGGAACTGAGTGACTTAGAGCAGGCGAACAAAATGCTGGGAACTGTATAATCACAGTCTAACCCCAAATCAGAGATTGCTAGAACCACGAGGAACATTAGCCAACTCCGTTTTACTCTTGAGAAAAATGAAACTTAGGGAAGAAAAGTAAATTTTTCAAGAGAAGTTAGTGGTAGGAGAACTAGGGTTCAGGTCTTTTGATTTCTTGGAAAGTTTTTTATTAGTGTAGTTAATTATCTGACTATTGTACCTTTTCTGCCATAGACTGCTGATTTCATAAAATTATGAATGTGGCTTAGTTATACTAACACATACGGGCTGTAGATTATGAAAACATCTCAGCTACATTTGGGGTATGTGGTTTTATTATAATAATTTTTAAAGATTTAGTCACTAAAATGGGGTATCGTTAAAAGTTGAACCTCTTTTTGTCTTATGTAGTTGGATGGTAGAATAATGAGTAGTCATTCAAGATATAAACATTATATATAATAGTATTTAACATATTCTGCCACATAGCCTGGCATTATAAGGAATAACTTTACTCAAAATTCATAGCTCAATGCACAGGCATACACTTCCATATTCAATAGATTTTAGGCAAATATTTCCTCTATATTGAGACAAGTACATGGAATTTGTTTTCTTGAGACCTGACATCTGATAAGTAGCACTTAGGAAATGCCTTTTGGAGACATGAAGTTTGTAGTATTGCCTCCAGGAATACAATTTAAGACAGCGTAATAAACCAGCCTATATGATTTTCAATCACAGTTCAATGTTACTTTTAATCCAATTTTACGTTAAAAAATTATAATTTGAAGAAATATGAATATAAATTGTAATAATTTCCCACACAATCATTACATAATAAAAACTCCATTTGTTTTCCATTAAACATACTTTAGCAATTAATTGACCTAATAGTAGTTTTAGTACTATATTATGATTCCTCCTGTTTTATGTGATCTGCCCATGGCTTCTTTGCAATACATTGGTATTTATGTAATAAATACATGAGACATTAGTCAATTTGATACTTTTTAACCCAACACTGAGAGTATTCCCATATGTACCCATTGCTTCCACAGATTATTGCTGCCATAAAATGGTCAGTTGCCGTGTTAAGAAAGATTGCCATTATTTGATAAAGAAAGTTATTTTGACGTGCATCCCTTTTAAGGGACATGTTTAGGGAGCTGTAACAGTTAACTGTAGGTCATCTTCTAGTTCATTTGCATTGCATGGAGTGGTTCTCAAACTTGAGTCTGCATAGTAGCCACCTGAGGAGCTAATTAAAATGCATATTCCTAAACATTTTGCTCAGAAAATCTCATCCATAAGCTGTGATAAGGACCTAAAAATCTACATCTTTACTAAGCCTTTGATACAATCTGCAGACCATAGAGGGGATCAACATACACTGGGATCTACTTGAGGTGGGAGGGTGGGAGGAAGTAGATGAGCAGTAAATAAGACTATTGGATACTGGGCTTAATACCTGGGTGATGAAATAATTGGTAAGCAAACCCCTGTGACACACATTTACCTATGTAACAAACCTTCATATGTACTCCTGAGCCTAAAATAAATGTTTAAAGAAAATAGACAGTGATATGTGTGTGAATCCCAACATTCTGGTTTTCCACAATGCTCCCTGAAATGTGAAAAGGGAGAGCTTCTTGGGAATACACTATATAAATATGCTCATTCCCTTGGAATGGGACTACTTTTTGATGAAGTTTGTACATGTCATCGAAATATTACTGATTTGATTATTCCAATTGGTAGAAAAGCATTTGAAGCCTTATTTTTAATTCCCTAGAAATTATGAGACCACCACCTAGGCAATTGACGTGATGTCTTCCAACTTGTATAATTCTATAATAAAAGAATACTGGTTTTGATTTGCATGGTTCTTTATGAAATAAAGTCCAACATGCATTACAGCATGTATCTCTTCACTTGCTCATAGGGATACAATGAAGATAAAATGGAGGCATAGACAAGAAAGCATTTGAGGGGAAAAAGGTTGAGTTTGATATGTAAGTCATGTAGTTCAGTGTGTCTGGAGGGCTTTTTGTGGTTCTCTATCTGCTTTTTTTTTTTTTTTTTTTTTTGAGATGGAGTCTCACTGTGTCACCCAGGCTGGAGTGCAGTGGCACAATCTCAGCTCACTGCAAGCTCTGCCTCCTGGGTTCACACCGTTCTCCTGCCTCAGCCTCCCAAGTAGCAGCTGGGACTACAGGTGCCTACCATGACACCCCACTAATTTTTTGTAATTTTAGTAGAGATGGGGTTTCACCATGTTGGCCAGGGTGGTCTCGATCTCCTGACCTTGTGATCCTCCCACTTCGGCCTCCCAAAGTGCTGAGATTACAGACATAAGTCACCGCGCCCGGCCCACTATCTCCTTTTAATTTTATTTTCAAACAGTTACACGCTCCTATTGTGGGCTAGAAATAAATAAAAGGACTTAACATCATGTAAGTTGTTTTCCAGAACACTAAGCTTGAGTTTTTCTTAAGCTTATGTTTCAGTTTTCTCTCATTGCCTTTCCAAAAATTATGCTGTCATGGGATTGATCCAAATCTTTGCTGGCTGTTTTTGAGCTCACAGGAAGGTAGAAATGGAGCTACTCAGGAAAAGAGAAATTAAAAGGAGGTAAACAGAGACAACAGCGAAATAGTATCATATAAGAGCAACTGATTTTCTTTTATCCATGTTAAATTGACCTTGATTAAAATTACATAAGGAGAATTCCAAGAATATGAGCTGTAAGGTTGTGACTTTGAAGAACAAAGCTCACTTGTATGTACATTTTCTATAATGATTGTGGGAGAAAAATGAGTTTCATTAATGACTACTCACATGATATACTCAATTGTTTCAAAAATTCTTTTAAATAATTAGTATAAAGAATGAGCAAAGTTCTCATAATGGTTAAAACCTATTGTGAGGCAGGGTGTGGAAATCGTGATTGAGATGACAAGGCACCCAGTTGTACTCATATAAAGAACACTGCTTGCGCGTATGATTGCTGTTCAGGTCAGAGCTTTGAGGCATTTTTGACCTTTTGAAGCAGTTGCATGGCAAGAGATCAAAACGTGAAAAAATAATCAGCTAGGAGGACTGCTCTCTTGCATTTCAAACTCAGATTTGACTTGAATAATACCTGGACACAAGCTGAGGGTATTTAAGTTGATTAGAAGGTAGCCTAAGAAGATAGAAAATACTTTTTTTCTAAATGTTGGAGAGATAATAACTCTTGCTATCTGGAGGCTTACAATGAGAAAAGAGGGCAAATATACCCTGGATTGACTTCTTTAAAAACTCAAATGATCATGATTCCCTGTAATTTTTTATAAACATACTTGTAATTTGTGCAGTTTTTTCTAATTGCCTTGGCCCTGATCGATATATATTTTATCTTGATCATAATTATGAAATACGATAGTGACGAATTCCATCAACATTTGCTTGTCTGGAAAAGATTTTATTCTTCCTTCACTTATGAAGCTTACTTTGTCTGGATATGAAATTCTGCCTTGGAAATTCTTTTCTTTCACGGTGTTGAATATTAGCCCCCAATCTCTACTGGCTTATAGGGTTTCTGCTGAGAGATCTGCTGTTACCCTGATGGGCTTCCCTTTGTAGGTAACCTGGCCTTTCTCTCTGGCTGTCCTTAACATTTTTTCTTTCATTTAAACCTGGAGAATTGTATGATTACGTATGTTGGGGTTGGTCTGCTCAGTATCTTGCATTCCCTGAATTTGAATGTTGGGCTGGCTTCTGCTCAGTGAGTATCTTGTATTTCCTGAATTTGAATGTTTGGCTGGCTTTCTAGATTGGAGAAGTTCTCCTGGATGATATCCTGAAGTGTGATTTCCAACTTGGTTCCGTTCTCCCCGTCTCTTTCAGGTTCCCCAAACAGTCTTTGCTTCAGAATTTACATAATCCCACATTTGTCAGACGTTTTGTACATTCATTTTTATTCTTTTCTTTTTCTCTAATCTTTTCTGCCTGTCTTATTTCAGCAAGATAGTCTTCAAGCTCTGAGATTCTTTCCTCTGCTTGGTCTATTCAGGTATTGACAATGTGATTTCATTGTGGAGTTGTCGTATTGCGTTTCTCAGCTCTATCAGGTCATTCATGTTCCTCTGTAAACTGGTTATTCTGGTTATCCGCTCCTGTTACGTTTTATCGTGGTTGTTAGCTTGTTTGCATTGGGTTAGAACATTCTCCTCTAGCTCAGGGAAGTTTGTTATTATCCACCTTTGAAGCCTACTTCTCTCAATTCATCCATATTAGCCTCAGCACACCATCTCACGCCAGACAGAATGGTGATTTTTAAAAAGTCAAGATACAACAGACGCTGGCATGGTTTCAGAGAAATGGGAATGCTTTTACACTGTTGGTGGGAATGTAAATTAGTTTATCCATTGTGGAAGACAGTGTGGTGGTTCCTCAAAGAACTAGAACCAGAAATACCCAGCAAGGCCGTTACTGGATATATACCCAAAGGAATATAAATCATCCTATTATAAAGATACATGCATTTGTATGTTAATTGCAGCACTATTCACAATAGCAAAGACATAGAATCAACCCAAATGCCCATCAATGATAGACTGGATAAAGAAAATGTGATACATATACACCATGGAATAGTATGCAGCCATAAAAAGGAATGAGAGTATGTCCTTTGCAGAGACATGGATGTAGCTGGAAGCTGTTATTCTCAGCAAACTAATGCGGGAACAGAAAACCAAACACTGCATGTTCTCACTTATAAGTAGGAGCTGAACAATGGGAACACATGGGCACAGGGAAGAGAACAACACACACTGGGGCCTGTTGCTGGGAGAGGAGGAGAGCATCAGGAAAAATAGCTAACGGATGCTGGGCTCAATATCTACCTAATGGGTCTGTAGGTGCACCATACCACCGTGGCACACATTTACCTCCATAACAAACCTACACATCCAATACGTGTACCCTGGAACTTAAAAAAATAAATGTGATAGTAAGAAATTTATTATAATTAATATTTTAAAATATAATGTATGTGATTTGAAGCATTACTTTCCTCATTTGACTGAAATCACATGTGCTGTTGAAAGGGTATATTAGTCATATGCTTTACAATTTGGTATGCTAATTGTAATTATCATATTACGCCATAAATTGTAATTACTGTATTTAATATGTAATTTATATTAAGTAGTATATACCAGGTGCTTTGGTGTAAGCATATATATATATATTTTTTTTTTCAAGCGAGTCTAAAGGTTTTGTAGTTTTGTGGATTTTTAGTAGAATAAATTGTCTTCTTTCTCAGGAATAAGGAAAGTTGTATGACTTATTAAGGTTCAAATATCTCATTCCCATTTTGTGAATATTTTGCTATATTGCTAACAACAATTTTTGCAACATTCTCAACTGTGAGCACCTCTTTAAGATAAAATACATATGCTCAGAATTTGCCTCTTCTTGTACATGGCAGTTCATGTTTATGCTGTATATGTTTGTGCCTACATTCAAGGATGCCCAAAAAGAGAAAATGATTATTATATAATTATGTGTACCTTCTATATCATCTATATCCTGATGAGAGATTTATTATGTGTGCTGCCGAAGCAAGCACCTGATGGGAGATTTAAAACTCCTATCAAATAGTAATATAAAACATAGCTGTAAATGATAAGCCAGTGCTTTTTATTATACCCAAAATGCAAATAGAAATATGCCAATGTACCAAGATGAAAATTTCTTTACATGTTCTTCTTTTCTGAGTTAATTCTCATTCTTTAAAGATCCTCTATTTTAACCCTTCATAAAATATTTTATGTTCACGTTCTGGCTGTACCCATTCTCAGAGCATCATTTTGTAGACCTCTTTGTACAAGGGGGATATAGTTGCAAATGGTTTGCCTCTCTTCTTTTTTGGCCAGTAAGTTTAATTAAAAATACTCTAAGGCTTTTTATTTAAAAGACCTTTTCATTGCTTCCTGAAAGCTCTCCACGACTAGTAAGCCTGATGCCAATTAAAAAAGAAAATAATTTTTTAAAATCTGGAATTAAAATAAAAATACCTTACTTATTTTGTGTTTCCTTCTTACTTAAGGTCATAGAATTAACTCCCTTAAATTTGAGAACATGTTTTGGGTAATTCCTCAGGTTAAAGTTTTATTAGAAAAATTTGAAGTTGACCGAGTGTGGTGGCTCACACTTGTAATCCCAGTACTTTGGGAGGACAAGGCAGGCAAATCATCTGAGGTCAGGAGTTTGAAACCAGCCTGGTCAACATGGTGAAACCCCATCTTTACTAAAAATACAAAAAAAGTAGCCAGGCATGGTGGCAGGCGCTTGTAATTGCAGCTACTTGGGAGGCTGAGGCAGGAGAATTGCTTGAACCCGGGAGGTGGAGGTTGCAGTGAGCCGAGATCATGCCACTGCACTCCAGCCGGGATGACAGAGCGAGACTTCGTCTCAAAAAAAAAAAAAAAAAAAAAAAAAAAAAAGAAAATTTGAAGTTACATCTCAAATAACTTTGGAAATTAACTGTATCATTTTGCTATCTCCAACTATAATAGGTATTTGAGAATGGGCCTTGTATATCAGTGCAATAGGTTTTACCTTGTAAATGCATTGTCTGTAACAATATAAAATGTAAGCACTAAAAAATTTAATACATTCAGTCTGAGTTAACTCTTGGAATCTCTCATTCTTTATTTATAAATTTAAAGGAAAGGTAAGCTAGGCAGATTTCTATAGTGGCCATCGAGTTCTAAATGTCTTTGATATGTTTCTCTTTGCTTTTATGTGAAACTCTGGAGTACTTAGTGAAGAAGATTCCTACTTTTGCCACTGGAAAGGCAGCTAAAAAATAATGATAATAACATCCTATCCCTATTCAAAGGAGACTTAATTATGAAATTATTACACTGTATTCACTGAGTATGTCATTAAAATACCATACAGACAAAATGCTCAGCATCTGTATGATACGCCTATTATCTCCTGACAAAAAAATGAAATAACACATAAAGACAAATACAAGTCTTTTTCCTAAGCCTATACTTGATAATATCCATCCCTAATTATAGAATGTGTTTCATTACTTCAGTGTTAGATGGTATGTAGAGGAAGGCCAGATGGATCAGAAAAATTAAATCTCATTGCTTTGCAATTTTTGCAGGTGCAGTTAATTCACACAGTTGCTCAAATTCCGTATTTAATATGAATCCAGAAGACAACATACATCTCTTCTTTCTGATACAATTTGTACTAAAGACAATTTAAAATGAGGAACAAAATACATTAAATTGGACAGACAGTTTTACAGAATAAACCTTCTTAATTATCATATAATATTTATTTCGAAGAAACAAATGACTTATGATGCCTTCTAAGTATTTGACAATAATTTTGCTCATGATTTCAATGTCAGTACTTATTCAAGAAATTTTATTACCTTACAGTAATAAATTAATTATTAATATAAATTAAATTATTATTAAATTATTGTAATAATAAATTAATTACAGTAATTAATAGTAAATTTTAGTTACCAGGCTACTGTCCTGAACTTTGGCACTCATTGTATGCTACATTCAGCTATGGGAAGTCCTCTATACTTCATAAGATAAAGCATTTTACATCCTTGTGATTAGTAACTCAGCTTCCTTTGTGACCATCTGATCTTTTGCCCAAGGATTCTCCCAAAGTTCAACATATAAATATTTTCTTTTGCTTAGAGATGCAAATCTTTACCAGATTTTTGTGCCTTGTGCTACCATGCCTGTGGAGTTGGTTTTTAAGCATGGCTATCAATTATTATCTAAAGCTGTTGCTATGATTATGCAGTATGTTTTAAACTGCAGAAGTGCAATTCCTCCATGCCCATTAAAACTTATTGATCACTCCAAAGGGTTACATATACATAGACAGACAACGCAATGAAAAGCCTTGATCCACAGTTGTCAACCTGATTGTGTGTGTGTAGTGTATTTTGACTAATTTTGCACAGATTTCAATATAGCATGTCAAGAGCCAAACATATTTAACATTGAGTAATTCTTCCTATATAATAGTTATGATGTGCCATTGTTTACAATTTCAGTATTCTGAATTTATATATGTGTGTGTATGCATACAAATACACACCCCTTAAAAGGAAACCACCATTCAAAAAAGTGTACAAGTGTAGGAGCAAGTGAGCATAGCTGATAAGAGTTGGATGAATGAACATTCAGACTTGGATTTATATCTATGCTTTGCTACTAAAAAGTTTTATCTGCCTCAACAAGGTCACTTTCATCTATAAAATAGGAATAATATTAGTACTTACTCTTAGGGCCATTGTGAGGTCATAATAGCTACCATTTATTAAAGCTTTACAACATAGCAAGGGAGTTTTTCTAGATCTTTTGAATAAGATAATCAATTCAAAACACTTATTGTAATGCCTGGATCATGCAGAAAGCTTCATAACTGGTACCTGTTATTGCAAGTATTAGTATTTGCAAAATAAAGATTTTATGCTAAATTAGTAACTAATACTTTATAGCTTGAATCTTTCTAGTAAGTATCTAAATATTCAAATACTAGAATATCTCAAAAGGCAAGAAGTTGAAATCTCTTATCCCAGCATAACAAAAAAGTTACAAAGGCAATAATATGTAAATAATTAAATGGAAAGTTAAAAGTTTCAATTAAGAATATCAGTCAAAAATAAAAGGAAAATTTATTAGCCTGTTCTTACACTGCTATAAAGACATACCTGAAACTGAGTGATTTATGAAGAAAAGAAGTTTGACTCGTTCGTGTTTGTGGCATTATAGTATTCCTTGGTGTAAATGTACCACATTTTCTTTATCTTGTCTATCATTGATGAGCATTAAGGTTGATTCCATGTCTTTGCTATTGTGTATAGTGTTGCAATGATACACATGCATGTATCTTTATAATAGAATGATTTATATTTGGGTATATACCCAGTAATGGGATTGCTGGCTTAAATGGTTTTTCTGCCTCTAAGTCTTTGAGAAATCTCCGCATTGTCTTCCACAAGGGTTGAACTAATTTACACTCCCACCAAGAGTGTAAAAGTGTTCCCTTTTCTCCACAACCTCACCAGCATCTATTGTTCTTTGACTTTTTAATAGTAACCATTCTGACTGGCGTGAGATGTTATCTCATTGTGGTTTTGATGTGCATTTCTCTCATGATCAATGATGTTGAGTTTTCTTTCATATCGTTTTAGGTCACATGTATGTCTTCTTTTGAGAAGTGTTTGTTTATGTGCTTTGCCCACTTTTTAATGAGGTTATTTGTTTTTTTCTTGTAAATTTGTTTAAGTTCCTTGTAGACTCTGGACCATTGTCAGATGGATAGATGGCAAAACTTTTCTCCCATTCTGTAGGCTGTTTATTTACTCTGACGGTAGTTTATTTTGCTGTGCAGAAGTTCTTTAGTTTAATTAGATCCCCTTTGTCAGTTTTTGCTTTTGTTGCAGTTGCTTTTGCCATTTTCCTCATGAAACCTTTGCCCATGCCTATGTCCTGAATCTTATTACCTAGGTTTTCTTCTAAGGTTTTTATTGTTTGGGGTTTTGCATTTAAGTCTTTAATCCATCTTGAGTTAATTTTTGTATAGATTGTAAGGAAGAAGTCCACTTTCAATTTTCTGCATAGGACTATCCCAGCACTATGTATTAAATAGGCAGTCCTTTCCCCATTGCTTGTTTTTTCAGGTTTGTCGAAGATCAGATGGTTGTAGGTGCGTGGTCTTATTTCTGAGTTCTCTATTCTGTTTCATTGGTCTATGTGTCTGTTCTTGTACCAGTACCCTGCTTTTCTGGTGACTGTAACCTTGTAGTATAGTTTGAAGTCTTAGCTTTTGGGCTGAGACAATGGGGGTTTTCTGGATATAGGTTCATGTCATCTGAATACAAAAATAATTTGACTTCCTCTCTTCCTATGTGAATACCCTTTATTTCTTTCTCTTCCCTGATTGCCCTGGTCAGAACTTCCAATACTATGTTGAAAAGGAGTGGTGAGAGATGGCATCCTTATCTTGGGCCAGTTTTCAGGGGGAATGCTTCTAGCTTTTGCCCATTTGGATGTGGGTTTATAATTTATGGCTCTTATTATTTTGAGGTATGTTCCTTCGATACCTAGTTTATTGAGAATTTTTAACATGAAGGGATGTTGAATTTTATTAAATACCTTTTGGTTGTCTATTGAGATAGTCATGTGGTTTTTGTCTTTAGTTCTGTTTATGTGATGAATCACATGTATTGATTTGCATGTGTTAAACTAACCTTGCATGCTAGGGATGAAGCAAACTTGATTGTGGTGGATAAGCTTTTTGATATGCTACTGGATTTGGTTTGCTGGTATTGAGAATTGTTGCATCAGTGTTCATCAATGATATTAGCCTGAAGTTTGCTTTTCTTTCTTTCTCTCTTTCTTTCTCTCTCTCTCTCTCTCTTTCTTTCTCTCTCCCTCTCTCTCTCTTTCTTTCTTTCTTTCTTTCTTTCTTTCTTTCTTTCTTTCTTTCTTTCTTTCTTTCTTTCTTCTTTCCTTCTCTCTCTCTCTCTCTCTCTCTCTCTCTCTCTCTCTCTCCCTCCCCCTCCCTCCCTCCCTCCCTCCCTCCCAGGTTTTGGCATCAGGGTGATGCTGACCTCATAATATAAGTTTGGGAGAAATCCCTTCTTTTCAATTTTTTTGGAATAGTTTCAGTGGAAATGATACCAGCTCTTCTTTGTACCGCTAGTAGAATTCAGCTATGATTCCATCTGGACCTGGGCTTTTGTTGGTTGGTGGGATATTTATTATTGCCTCAATTTCAGAACGCATTATTGATCTATTCAGCAATTCATTTCCTTTATGGTTCAGTCTTAGAGGGGAGAAATGTGTTCAATAATTTATCCATTTCCTCTAGGTTTTCTAGTTTATGTGCATAGAGGTGTTTATAGTATTCCCTGATGGTTGTTTGTATTTCTGTAGAATTATTGGTGATATTCCTCTTCAAATTTTTCATTGTGTTTATTTGATTCTTCTCTCTTTTCTTCCTTATTAGTCTAACTAGAAGTCTACCTTTTTTATTTTTATTTTTTTCCAAAAACCAGCTCCTGGATTCATTTAGTTTTTTGGAGGGTTTTTCATGTCTTTATCTCCTTCAGTTCAGCTCTGATCTTGGTTATTTCTTGTTTGTTTGCTCTTGGTTTGCTAGTTTTTTTATTTGAGATGTTAGGCTGTTAAGATCTTTCTAGCTATTTGATGTGAGCATTTAGTGCTATAAATTTCCCTCTTAACACTGCTTTAGCTGCGTCCCAGAGATTCTGATAAATTGTCTCTTTGTTCTCATTAGTTTCAAAGAACTGCAGAGGTGGCAGCTGGTCTTCCTCCCAGAAGCTCTGTCCCAGGGAGAGATCAGAGCTCTATCCATTGAATCCTGGGTGGAATGGCTGAAGCCCCCTCAGGGAGGTCCCACCCAGTGAGGAGGATGGATCAGGGTCCCACTTAAAGAAGCAGACTGGCCACGATCTGGCAAGGGTTGCCACACACTTTCAAACAAACAAATCTCATGAGAACTCTTATCAGGAGAGCAGCAAGGGGGAGGTCCACACCCATGATTCAGTCCCCTCCCACCAGGCCCTTCCTCCAACACTGAAGACAGAATTCAACATGAGGATTTGGGTGGGGACAGAGAGCCAAACCATATCATAAAATAACAGCATAAACAAAATGAATTTAAAATTAAAGAATAGCTGAATAGTTCGTAATTGCAACTACAGTCATATGCTGCATAACAACATTTCAGTCAACAATGAACCACATATATGACAGTGGTCTCATAATATTATTATACTATATTATTTTTTACTTTTATTTTTGCTTCAGAGGTACATGTGGTGGTTTGTCATATAGATAAATTGCATGTCACAGGGGTTTGTTGTACAGATTATTTCATCACCCAGGTAATAAGCATAGTACCCAATAAGTAGTTTTTTTAATCCTCACCCTCCTCTTACCCTCCAGCCTCACATAGACCACCGTGTCTGTTGTCCCCTTCTTTGAGTCCGTGTGTTCTCAATGTTTATCTCCCACTTAGAAGTGAGAAAATGTGATATTTTGTGTTATTGTGTTAGTTTGCTTAGGATAATGGCCTCCAGCTCCATCCATGTTTGCTGCAAAGAACACAATCTCTTTTTTCATGGCTGCATAGAATTCCACAGTGTATATGTACCACATTTTCCTTATCCAGTCTACCACTGATGGGCATTTAGGCTGATTCCATGTGTTTGCTATTGTGAATAATGCTTCAATAAAACATACATGTGCATGTGTCTTTAGGGTTGAGGGATTTATATTCTTCTTGGTATACCCAATAATTGTTATTGCTGGGTCGAATGGTAATTCTGGTTTTCGTTGTTTGGGAAATCACCAAACTGCTTTCCACGGTGGCTGAACTAATTTACACTAATATCAGCAGTGCAATAAACGTTCCCTTTTCTGTGCAACCTTGCCAGCATCTGTGATTTTTTGACTTCTTAATAATAGCCATTCTCACTGGTGTCAAATGGTATCTTATTGTGGTTTTGATCTGCACTTCTCTAATGATTATTGATGTTCAGCATTTTTTCATATGAATGTTTTCTGTATGTATGTCTTTTTCTGGAAAGGGTTCATGTCCTTTGCCCACTTTTTAATGGTGATGTTTGGTTTTTGCTTGTAAATTTAAGTTCCTTGTAGATTCCAGATATTAGACCCTTGTCAGATGGAAAGTTTGCAAAATTTTTCTCCCATTCTGCAGGTTGTCTGTTTACTCTGTTGATAGTTTCTTTTGTTGTGTAGAAGTTCTTTAGTTTAATTAGGTCCCAGTTTTCAATTTTTGTTTTTGTTTCAATTGTTTTTGGTGTCTTTGTTATGAAGTCTTTGCAGTTTCAATGTCCAGAGTGGCATTACCTGGGTTATCTTCTTAGGTTTTTATAGTTGTTGGTTTTAGATTTAAGTCTTTAATCCACCTCGGGTTAATTTTTGTATATGGTGTAAGGAAGGGGTCCAATGAATAGGCAGTCCTTTTCCCATTGCTTGTTTTTGTTGATTTCATTGAAGAACAGATGGTTGTAGGTGTGCAGCCTTATTTCTCGACTCTCTATTCTTTTCCATTGGTTTATGTGTCTGTTTTTTGTACCATGCTGTTTTGGTTACTATATCCTTGTAGTATAGTTTGCAGTCAGGCAATGGGATGGTTCCAGCTTTTTTCTTTTTGCTTAGGATTACCTTGGCTATTCTGGCTCTTTTAGTGGCTCCAACTGAATTTTTAAATAGTCTTTTTCTTATTCAGTGAAGAATGTTATTGGTAGTTTTTTGGGAATAGCATTGAATTAAAAAGTGCTTTAGGCATTATGGCCATTCTGTCAATATTGATTCTTCCATGAGCATAGAATATTTTTCCATTTTTTGTGTGTTATCTCTGAGTTACTTGAGCAATATTTTGTAATTCTCAGTTTAGCAGTGTTTCACCTCCTTGCTTAGCTGTATTCCTAGGTATCTTATTTCTTTTTGACAATTATGAATGGGACTGTGTTCTTCATTTGGCCTTAGCTTAAATGTTGTTGGTGTGTAGGAACACTAGTGATATTTATACATTGATTTTGGATGCTGAAACTTTGCTGAGGTTGTGTATCAGATCAATGAGCTTTTGGGCAGAGACTATGGCCAAAGTATAGAACCTCATCGTCTGCAAACAGGGATAATTTGACTTCCTCTCTTCCTATTTGGATTGCCTTTATTTCTCTTTCCTGATTGCTTTGGCTAGGATTTCTAGTACTATGTTCAATGAGATTTGTAAGAGAGGGCCCCCTTGTCTTATGCCAGTTTTCAAGCACAATGCTTCTGGCTTTTGCACATTCAGTATAATGTTGGCTGTGGACTTTTTAAAGATGGTTCTAATTACTTTGAAATATGTTCCTTCAGTGCCTAGTTTGTCGAGGATTTTTAACATGAAAGGGTGTTGAATTTTATAGGATGCCTTTTCTATATCTACTGAAATGATCATGTGGTTTTTGATTTTTTGTTCTGTTTATGTGGTGAATCACATTTATTGACTTGTGTATGTTGAATCAACCTCGCAACCCTGGGATAGAAGCTCCTTGATCATGGTGGATTAGCTTTTTGATGTGCTGCTGGATTGGGTTTGCTGGTATTCTGTTGACTATTTTTGCATCTATGTTCATTAGGGACATTGGCCTGAAGTTTTCTTTTTTGGTTGTTGTGTGTCTGCCAGGTTTTGGTATCAGGACAATGCTTCCCTCATAGAATGAGTTAGGAAGGAGCCGCTCCTCAATTTTTGGGAGTGGTTTCATAGGAATGATACCAGCTTTTCCTTCTATATCTGTTAGTATTCAGGTGTGAATCTGTCTGGTCCTGGGCTTTTTCTGGTTGGTGGGCTTTTTGTTCCTAATTTAATTTCGGAACTCATTATTGGTCTGTTCAATGATTCCATTTCTTCCTGGTTCAAACTTGGAAAGTTGTAAGTTTCTAGCAATTTATCCATTGCTTCTAGGTTTTCTAGCTTGTGTGCATAGGGGTGTTCATTATGAATAGTCTCTAAGGGTTTTCTCTATTTCTGTGGGGTCAATGGTAACATCCCCTTTGTCATTTTTTATTGTGTTTATTTGAGTCTTCTCTCTTTTTTTCTTTATTATTCTAGGTAGTGGTCTATCTTTATTATTAATTATTTCAAAGAAACAGCTCCTAGATTCATTGACCTTTTCTGTGCTTTTTTGCATCTCATTTTCCTTCAGTTCAGCTCCGATTTTGGTTATTTCCTGTCTTCTAGCTTTGGGGTTAGTTTGCTATTGTTTCTCGTTCCTTGTGATGTTCGTTTTGTAATTAGAGATCCTTCTAACTTTTTGATATGGGTGTTTCGTGCCATAAGCTTGCCTCTTAACGCTGCTTTGTGTGTGTCCCAGAGATTCTGGTATGTTACATCTTTTTAAATTTTCATTAGTTTCAAATAATTTCTTGATTTCTGCCTTAATTTTATTGTTTACCCAGAGGTCATTCAGGAGCAGTTTGTTTGATTTCCATTTTAATGTATGGTTTTGAGCAATTTGCTTAACATTGATTTCTATTTTTATTGCACTGTGGTCCAAGAGTGTTGTTGGTATAATTTTGTGGGTTTTAAAAAAATTTTCTAAAGATTGTTTTATGCCCAACTCTCTATATCATATTTTTATTGTACCTTTCGATATGTTTGGATACACAAATACTTACCATTGTGCCTACACTATTCAGTATAGTCACATGCTGTACAGGTTTGTAGCTAGGAGCAATAAGCTGTACCACATAGGTTGGCCGTATAGTAGTCTGTACCATCTAGGTTTGTGTAAGTACACTCCACGGCGTTCGTACAAGGACAAAATTGTCTAAGGATGAATTTCTCAGAATGTGTCCCAGTTGTTAAGTTATACATGACTTGTAGTGATTCCTAATAAACTGGAGACAGTGGTAGAAAAAAAGTATTTTATTTTATTGTATGTCCTTTTGTATTCTTTAAATTTGCTTTGATGTACTTATGTTTCTTTTTTTAAATGTGCATTTTTTAAACAAGTGGAAGAGAAGATGGAAAGAAAGAACTTCATTTCTTGAGCATAGTTTGTTTTTCCCAGGCCTATCAAAATAACACAATCTTACTGCAAGAAGAGGCACACCCTGGAATAATATCAGGATGCTGGCAAATGCTCTTCCAATTTTTCTCAGAATGAGAAAATGTAAATTTTAAAGTTTAAATCTTTTTAACATATGTAATCTTATGAGTAAGAAGGTTGAGTATAGAAAAATTCTTCAAATTTCCCTGAGCGTTTAGAAAAGATAGTGGTTACTGCTGATATTTACCATTATAGAGCACTTATTTTATTCAGATATTATATCATTTAATTCTCAAAACCAGGACTGGCTACATAATTTGTGGGCCCAGTGCAAACTGAAAACAAGGGCTTCCTGTTCAAGACCTAAGAATTTCAAGACAGTGGAAGCAGAGCTTGAAAACAAGCATGGAAGCCTCCTGAGCAGGGGCCCTGGGCAACTGCATAAATTACCAGCCCATGAAGCTGTCCTTGCTTGTAACACACCTGTGAAGAAATGTGTTACTCTTACTTTAAAGATGAAGAAAATAATGCATAGATTTGAGATAAGAACCAACCAGCCCCAAATGTCACAGTGTATAAACTATGGATCTGGTGTTTAATAATTGTGGAGACTGGCTCCAATGCCTCTACTTATAACCACTCTAAGAGGAATCAGCTCCCAAATGTAAAGACAAGTATTTCTAAACTATTTCCCATTTTTACTAGGGAAATTAACTTGCAGTTAAAATGAATAGTATTTTAAAAAGAAATGTATTTTCTTTTCATGATATCATTTTAGAGTCTTAAATAGACTCATAATCAAAATGAAGAAAGGTGACTGGGTAAAAGTATAGTTAGCTAGATACAAAGATTGTTGAATATAGGTCAAACTATATTCTATTCTAGTTTTGACTCTGCCATATTAAACATTTTAGTGAAGGCACTACGTTATTCTTATCATGCTTGAAGTTTTCCTCATTCTAATGCATTGAGTGACAGGAGTATGATTCCATAGATCTTAATATATAAATAGAAATGATAGATTTAAAACAAACAGTTTGGCAAAACTTTCAAAATTTTTCTTTGCTTACAAATGCAACATTTTGCAGATAATATCTTATAGAAGAACTTTGGAAACTAAAGGAATACAGAAATATACACTGTGCAACAGAAATTTTCTCTACTTTCTCTGTCAAAAATCAACCAATGTTTATGTCTAGCATTGTTTACTCAATAGTGTAAAGCAAACGTTTTCCAATGACATTAAAATATTTGAAATATAATACTCCATCCACATTCATATACCATAATGTACTTAAACCATCATCTATGACATGAGGTTGTTTCCAAAAGTTACTGTTAGAAAGACCCTATAAACAAGGATAAATATTATATCTAGCCTTCAGCATCAAATTAAATCTAAATGTTAAAATGCTAGCTGAGAGAAATCTGTTTTCATAACATTTAAAGAGAAAATTACTTGATTACTGTATGTTTGGTGTATGTAATTATTTTGCATACTGGTATTTTTCACGTGGCATTCATCTTCACAATTATTTGTGTGATTATCATCGTCCCTATTTTGCCGTAAGGTTCCTAAATATGGAGTTTCTATTTTACTCATTTCTGAATGTCCTATAGTGAATATATATTCAATAAACATTAGAATTTTATAGAAACCTTGTGGTTCAGCTGCTGAATAACTTACACAGTTTTAGAATTCTTTGATTGACTATGGTGTCCAAAGCCAAGAAACATTGGTTTTGGATGACGAATCAAGTTATATCTACTTCTAGCAAATAACTGGCATTATAGAGTTTGAAAATGATATTTATCAGGGTCATGATTATTAGATTTCAAATCTTAGAATATCAGGTAGAAATGATATTCAATTTACTCTGCTTTCATTCAGAACTCAAAACAAGTTTTAACAAGAGGAAGTCTTAATCAGGCAGGATTCCTCTGGTTGTTAAGAACATCTTTCCCAATGGGGAAAGTTTGCTTGCATGCTAAGAAAGGAGCTTTCTGTTTCAGGGAGTAGTGAGCTCTGTAATAATCAGGAGGTCATGTTAAATGGCCTTCGTAGTCCCTCTCCTGTCTATATTTCCTAATGATTCTAACACATAATTAAGTGTCAATAATAGTTATAGTCAATAACTATAAGCCATAAGGAAATTTAGTACATGACTGATTGTTTTTTATTCTGATTGTATGAAGTAGGTTTTGAGAGTGATTATTAATTTGTTATATGTAATGAGTTCTACCCTATATTTACAGGGTGAATGCACAGTTTTCTTATTTCTCCATCCCGAAGGAAATGAAGTAGTATTTTTCAATTACAGTGTAGTAGTGATTATTATATAGAACAATTACAGACTCATGTCTTACTACTCTTTTATTAAAAATGATTCATTTTTCTTTCTTAAAAGGTTGAGTATATTTTTAAATGCCGCTTCACAGTATATCATGTTGTCATTTCCCTTTACCCTCCATGGGCACATGTATCCAATTTTATAAGTAGATACCACGAAAATATTAATATTACAGAAATTAATTTAAGAGTCAAATTTTTAGTAGCACAAATGTTCTATGAGATTGGATATAACTGCATGAATTAGCTTGGTATTTTCAGAATCTCTGCATTCTGGTCTGTATGTTTAAAATTAGGTATTTTCTTAATCTGCAAAATATTATCTTCTAGCCTCCACTGTATGCAAAGAAAGTGTGCTCATGGTTAAAAAAATATTCAAATAAAAAAATAAATTATCTTGGGATCCTACTAAAAACTGCATTTTCTTTGCAAAGCAAGTTTTCTCATGGTTAAAAAATATTCAAATTACAAAGTAAATGCTCTTGGAATCCTACTAAAAACTACATTTTCTTTTTGACTAGAAATAAAACTAATTTTATCACGTAATGGTCATTTTGTGTTGGGTGCAATGTTTGAGTTTATATTTTAAGCTTTTTTTAGAGCTATGTTGCTTTCTGCTTTCATCTTGACATAACTTGTCAACAGACTTATAATTAAAGTTGTTTGAGGTTCAGTGATTCATTCTAAATAATGAATCTATGGAGATCCTAGAGAAGATAAAACCTGTGCTTGGCAAATGTAGAAACTGTAATTCTTAGTATCCTTTTAGCCTACCAAAATGGAAATCCTTCAGTCCCTCACATAGGTAAAGATATGTCTTTAACAAAAGGTAGCCTTTTTAAGCTATGTATGTCAAAGCAATTTTTACTTAAGACATCATGGAAAAGATTTTATTCCTTCACTGTTCATTGCCAATTTGGAAGCTGAAATAAGAAGATCCTGAGGCTTTTCCCATTTCCTCACATGAAAGGAATCAGTCCTCGTGTATGAGGCAGGGAGATTACTACAAACCCTTCCCTTACCTCTTGGCAAATTCAGGAAAATTGCTAAAATGAATCTTGACCCAGCCAGATCCCTGCTCCTTTGCTTGTAACCAGAGGCAGTTTCAATGCAGGCCTCTTGTGACTTCCTTGGAAACAGACCTTGCATATAAGTTGGATTGCCAGAAGGATAATGATTACCATCCCAAGAGGTAACGTTACAATCGTCATGAGAGGAGCTCTGTGAGACGGAGAATATGATAAGGAATGATTGTCTCACCATTATATGACTTGTCTATCTCGTAATGCCCATGTATTGAGGTGATGGCCTCTCATGTCTTGGCTCACAAAATGTATTATTCCAAAGATGGATGAACTGTTGCCCCCGGCCCGCTGCCAAAAGTATGAACAGGAGGTAATTGAGATTCTAAACCAAGAAGTGTCTCCAGTGATGAATATGGGAACTCAAATATTTGAACATAATCACTAATTTAAATCAAACAAGAGTAGTGTGTTTTTTAGCATTTGAATAACATTCAACATAAAGATATATATGGACTAATACATACTTTATGTTAACCTTTTATTGTAATTTTAAAAGCTGTTTCACTTATTTGATTAAAGAGTCGTTCATTACCAAGTTGAAATAATTTTATTTAAAAATGTATAACATAAAATAATCAATGTGTATGATAACCAAAAATGCATTCTACAAACTATTAATAAGCATTTAAAATGTTCTAGGCAATGGAATTGGTACTGATGTACGTTAGTAACATTCATATTAATGTAAACATTTTAAACAGCATGTAGAATTAACTATCAGAATGAATTATACTCTACATTTTTCTCCTCTGCCCCCACCCCTTATTTCCTACAGTTTGACCAATATATTGAAGGGGCGCTAAATTGACTTTCGATGTTGAGATTACTTTCCCTTGCTATTTCAGTGAACCAAACTTAAGTCAGATAAAACAATTTTATTTGGCTTCAATATGGTGCTATTTTGATCTGAAGGTCAATCTACCAACAAGCAAGAACAGTTTCTCATTATTTTCCTTTGCCACTCCAAGCAGTCTTTACTGAAGTCTTTCTAGCAATGTCTGACCTCTGTTTCAATACTTCTCACAGATTTCACAGGCTGTCACCACCACTCAGCCATCACTAACACAGACAACTGTAATGGAAACAGTAACTACGGTGACCACAAGGGAACAGATCCTGGTAAAGCATGCTCAAGAGGAACTTCCACCACCACCTCCCCAAAAGAAGAGGCAGATTACTGTGGATTCTGAAATTAGGAAAAGGTGAGAGCATCTTAAGCTTTTATCTGCAAATGAAGTGGAGAAAACTCATTTACAGCAGTTTTGTTGGTGGTGTTTTCACTTCAGCAATATTTCCAGAATCCTCGGGTACCTGTAATGTCAGTTAATGTAGTGAGAAAAATTATGAAGTACATTTTAAAACTTTCACAAGAAATCACTATCGCAACAGAAAGTAAATGCTTAATGGAAATGGTGTTTTCTGGGGTGAAAGAAGAAACTATAGAAACTATAGGTGATAAACTACTGTGGTAGCATTTTAATCCTAAAAGTTTCTTTCTTTCTTTTTTTTTTTTCTTCCTTATAAAGGGCCTGCTTGTTGAGTCCCTAGTTTTGCATTAAATGTCTTTTTTTTCCAGTAACGGAAAGTGCATTTTCATGAAGAAGTACACCTATAATAGATGGGATCCATCCTGGTAGTTTACGAGAACATGATGTCTCAGTCTGCGCATCCTAAATCAGGAGTAATTACAGAACACATTTCCTGTTCTTTGATATTTATAAAGTCTTATCTTGAAGGTGTTAGAATTTTTAACTGATCTTTTTGTGACTATTCAGAATTATGCATTTTAGATAAGTTAGGTATTATGTAAATCAGTGGATATATTAAAATGATGGCAATAAAATTTTATGAGTGCAAAGCTGGCATAAAAATTATTTTAAAAGGTACAATTTCCCTTTCATTCCAGTTATTGTAATTCTAAGATTAAGAAAGAACGTTAAAATCTGCCGTATGTTTTTAAGCAGCATATGTTTAGAAACTCATGGAACACTTGACATTAGAATTTGTGTATACCAGGGTAGAGAAGTTTGAAAAGAACACACATCTAAAAATACCATGTCAGATGTTCTAAGAAAAAAAATAAATCTAGAGAAGTTATTCAAATATATTATTTGGGATGTTTAGTACTTCTCTATTAACTAATGACTTATGACCTACTTTGATAATTCCAAAGTAAATCACTGGGCCTTTTCTCCCTGGTTGTGTCAGCTTGGCTAAGCAAATCCACTAGTCCAGGGGTCACCAAACTAAGACCTGCTAACCAAATTTAGCATGCTGCCAGTTTGGTATGGCTCATCAGCCAAGAAGTGTTTTTACGTTTTCAAATGGTTGAAAATAATCAAAAGAAAAATAATATTTTATGACATGTCAAAATTACATAAAATTCAAATTTCAGTGTTATAAATAATGTTTTAGTGGAACACAGCCAAACTCATTTATTTATCACTTATGATTACTTTCGCATTACAACGGCAGAGTTTGAATAGTTGTAACACAAACTGTATAGTCCACAAAGCCTAAAATATTTATTACCTATCCTATCACAGAAAAAGTTTGGCGACCCTTGCTCCAGTCAAATGGCTCTCAAACTCTATGAATATTAGCATTCTTTTTGTGGCAACAACTTTCAGGAACTTCCAAGCACTCTACTCACGATGGTAATAGAAAATCTAACAAAAATTGATGGAGTGAAAAGCATAATGGCACAAATCCGTGAAGCTTTTGATGAATTTCTTTTATTATTCCTAGTAAGATGTACATTAACTTGTTTGTTGTCACATTAAACATGTGTTTATAGACAACGCTTAGTGGACATACAGATTTATGGATACTTTGCAACATTCCAACAACCCTCCAACAGTTCTCCAAACAGAGTAATAGGGACACCTAGTTGCCTAACACTTTTAATGTCTTCAGGACTTGCCTAATACAGAAATTAACAGAGCAAGCTGATTCATGTCAATCTCTGTCTTCAAAAGCTTATTATTGGCTCCTGTTTGGAGAATGGATTGTGTTGGAAAAAAAAAAAAAGTGTGTTCTGACTTCTTTTTGTTTTCAGGAAAGAGTGGCTAGTGGTGAAATACCTTCTCTCCAAAATTTGTTTGTATCATAAGTTTTCGGCAATTTTTGTATGTGCCTAAATGAGAAGTCCCATTGGGCACATACAGAAAGATTCTTCAAATAAAAGCTAACATAAATTGAGGATTTATTATGTGCTCAGTAGTAGATTCAGTGCTTTATTGGCATCGCATGTATTTTTCCCAGTAACCTCCCAAAATAGGTATGGCTATAATTACTTTATAAAATTATACACAGCTACAGTGTACCTCAGACAGGATTTGAACTGAGGTAGCTACAAAACCTGGGCTGTATAGTAAAATGTCTTTTTCATAGATATATGACTAAGGTAATCCTATTGATTTACCTGAAGCCATCCCAGTTACACCTGTTGTCCCAGCATAATTATATATAGCATCAACTTTCACTCTCAAGTGTGTCCTGATTTGGACGGCAAAATTATCTGAACACGCTATATACGACACTTGATTGATAAATTTAGACTGAACGAAGATAGCAAAAAGGCAAACATTTAGGAACAAATTCATTAATTGATAATTGTCTACAGGGTGGAATCTTGTTAAAGTATTGTAATGATTAAAGAGGCATCATGCAAATATAACCATAAGCTTTATATTAGCTAGTGCCCCGTTTTTGTATCATCTGAAGCCCACTAATATTTCACTGAATATTGAGGTCTTGACCATCTGTTGAATAGTGTTTTATTTAAATGATGTCCTCTTCCAGCTTCTGTGACACACTACCAGTTGTCACCCACGACTCTTTACCTGACTTGTTTTATTCCTTCTGCCTTATTCCTATGGGAGTATCACACAGATCCATCTCTTTGCCTTTCTGACTTCTTTTATTTTGAGACAGTGTCTTGCTCTGTCACCCAGGCTGGAGTGCAGTGGCGGGATCTCAGCTTACTGCAACCTCCGCCTCCTGGTTTCAAGCAATTCTCTGCCTCAACCTCCCGAGTAGCTGGAATTACAGGCACCCTCCACCACATCCGGCTAATTTTTTTTGTATTTTTTAGTAGAGACAGGGTTTCACCATCTTGGCCAGGCTGGTCTTGAGCTCCTGACCTCGTGATCCACCCACTTCAGCCTCCCAAAGTGCTGGGATTACAGGCATGAGCCACCATGCCCGGCCTTTTGACTTCTTTATCTGGATTATCTCCTCTCATTGATTCGAGCCTGGCTCTAAGTGACTGACTCCCAAATCATGTAGCTCCAGATGTGACACTCTCCCTCAAATTAAAGCTTTATATCTCTAAAGCTATTTCCGCTTGTGCATCCAGCAACTGCCTCAATGTTCATCAAATGCAAACATTTGTTCCTTCCAATTAACCATACCTACTTATACATTGCACACATATTTTAGTTATAATTCATTGCCTGTGTGTCTAGAGAAGTAGCAAATATGGAAAAAATCATTGCTTTTGGAATCAGAATTACTGAGGTTTGAATGCTGCCCTTTTTTTTTTTCCCAACTTTTAGTTTAGGTTCAAGGGGTTAACGTGTAGGTTTGTTACATGGGTAAATTGCGTGTTGTGGCTGTTTGGTGTACAGATAATTTTGTCTCTCAGGTAATCAGCATAATATCTGATAGGTAGTTTTCCCATCCTCACCTGCCTCCCACCTTCCACTCTCAAATAGGCCCCAGTGTCTATTATTCCCTTCTTTGTGTCCATGTGTACTCAGTGTTTATCTCTCACTTATAGGTAAGAACCTGTGGTATTTGTGAAACCTGCCTGTTTTAATTACTAGCTTATGAGCGCAGGCAAATTACTTGTTATCTGTGCCTCAGATTCCAGTATTCTCACTTTATAAAACAACTGTCATGAGGATTAAATAAGCATTTAATACATTGCCTTTAAGGTGGTAAACATTCAATAAATGCAGTGGTTCGATTCTTATTTGGTGGTGGAGACCATAGAGATGATGAAGATGGAGGAAGATTGTGGTGGGTAGGAGGAGTAGAAGTGATGGTGGGAGAGGTAACGATAGTAGAGATGATGATGATGGTGGTGGAGGTAGTGATGGAGATGGTAGTCATCTATTATCGACAGGGAAAAATTCCATAATAAACATTATCTCAAACCTAAGAAATGTAAAATTACCTTCCTGTTTTCCTCTTCAAAACAGAATTTACCACCTGACATCTCTAGTTCTGTGAATTTTTCTTCTACTTTCTTTTCCTTATTTATTATAATTAGATTGTATTATTGGGCAAGTGCCATCATTTCCGTCATTTCATGTTCATTCGAATTGCCAAGTCCATAACCTGAGCCATATACCTCACTGTGGAGAGAACTGCCCTCCTTTCTAATTGATTTACTAAAATGAATATATCTAAAATGATGCTTTTTGATGTCTCTCCAGACATGCGAATTCCCATAAATCCAGATACCTCCAAAATAAAACCCAAGTGCTTCCTATGGCATTCAGTATTATTCTCATTCTCCACTAATTTTATGTCTACCTTCCCAATAATCATTATTCCACTTCAGCCAGTAAATTACATTACATTCGTTTTGTTGTATGCCTTCATGCCACTCACATAAAATTTCTCATTGCCCGTCAAAACAAAGGAAGCCTATTATTACACTTCTTTATGTTTTACTTAGATTCCATTGTAGCAAATACCGTGGATACAATAAGTAACCAATAAATGTTTGTTGAGAGAGTGAATGGTATATAATTCAAATAATTGCAGTAACTAAAATTTGACATTTCAATATCATTTAAAAATTCTACCTAGCTCTTCCTGGAATTGTTCTTAATAATAAACGTGACCATCCTGATGATCTTTAATAATTCCAATTTTACCCATTAGGGTATCCTTATTTACCCAAAACAATTAAGGGATTTAAAATTCAGCTTTCTACCACATAGTTTCTTAACTATCTAAGGTACATTTAGTCGATTCCTAAATAATTATACAGTTTCTACATATGTTGTATTTATTGCATAAATTTTTCTCTTTACACTGAGATTTGCAAAAGTGTCTGATGATCTTGGGTCACAAGATAATTATTTCTAATAGCAAATTATTCCTGCAATTCAGTGATATTATTGTACACGTAGGTAATTATCAGAGTAAGGAACTCAGCCTAGGGTAAAACTAGATCTATTATCTAGTTAATTGGTATTTATCCAGGAGATTACTTCCTAATCATGTAGCAGTTATTTTAAGGGATTTTTAAAAAAAGCTTTAATTTATACTTTTGTAGCAACCAGGCAGAATGAATGGCAAATTGTTTTTAAGTGAATGCCATCTTAATAAAGATAATTTCCCCCAAGTAAAGCGTTCATAAATGAATATCTTTGTCCTCAAGGATAATGTAGAGGCATTTTGAAATGCCTCAGTTCACCTGGTCTGTTTTTTCCCTCCAGGGTAAGCAGACAGAATGTAAGCTTGCTTTCTCGGCTATTTCCTGCATCCTAACTACATAGGAGGATAAATTGACTGATCTACATACCTGAATTATTATTATATATTCTACTTTTCAGTTTGTTTCTGTTTTTTGTTTGTTTGATTTTCTTTTTATGGCTGCTGTCCAGATGAAGTTAAATTGTGTCACATCTCTGGAAAGAAAATAGATAACAGATAAGACCGCTCTGCAGTTTTGTGAGACTCATGCCTAAAACATTTTTGTTTTAGATATTGATTATAACTTCAGTTTCTAAACTAAAATCTGAAAGTTGTATGGCAAAATATACCAAGTTATTTGAAGGACCTAATTAGATAATTAATGTGTCCGTGAACTTTTTTTTTTTAATGTTCTATATGATAAATTGATCCTAAAATATCTGGGATGTTAAACTCAGTAATGACACTTTTGCCTATTGGCACAGCCCATAGAAACAAAACATTTTAGATGATTTGCTTCTTTTTTTCCTAAGGAGACTAGACTTATGCATGTTTACAGGTTAATTGAGGTCCAGAAAGGTTAAATAACTTGCTTTCAGTTGCAAAATAAGGACTGGTGCTGACTCTCCTAAATCCATTCTAGTGTTATAGTTGCAATGTCATGTTACTTTTTATGTATTAAAGGAAAATGACCTTGGTCATAAATTCAAATTTCGCTTTAGACACTATTTTTTGTTAAAAAAAAAAAAAAAAGAAATAGAAATCTTGCATACCATCTTCACATCCTCAAAAAGATAACCATCTATTAAATGTTCTTGAGATTATGTTGTCTTATGCATCAAGAATAAATCAATAGCAGTGTTTTGAAGAATATAGTAATGTGAATTCTAGAGAATGCTATGGGATCAGAGAATACTTAGAACAGTAATATTCAAACTGCAGTGCATGAAACAGTATCATCACCTGGGACCTTCTTTGAAATGCAGATTTGGAGGGCCCTTCCCAAACCTGCTGAATCAGAAACACTGCTGGTGGGCCCAAAAATATTTTACAAGCACTCTCGGTGATACTTATACACCATAAAATTTGAGAACCCTCGCACTGGCATGACAACAGTGGTTCTCATGCTTCAGCATGCGTCGGAGTCACCAGAGTTTCTAATTCTAATAGGCGTGGAGTGGTGCCCAAGAATTTTAATTTCTAACAAGGTCCCACGTGATTCTGCTGCTACTGATTTAGGGCCCACACTTTGGAAATCAGTTCACTGGAGTGTCTTGTCATTTACAGTCTGACCCCTGATTCTCTTTCCTTATGACAGCCCCCATAAAGGGGCTTTCACGTATGTCCGTGTGAAGAGACCACCAAACAGGCTTTGTGTGAGCAACAAGGCTGTCTATTTCACCTGGGTGCAGGCAGGCTGAGTCTGAAAAGAGAGTCACGGAAGGGAGATAGGGGTGGGGCCGTTTTATAGGATTTGGGTGGGTAGTGGAAAATTACAGTCAAAGGGGATTTTTCTCTTGTGGGCAGGGGCGGGGGTCACAAGGTGCTCAGTGGGGGAGGTTTTGAGCCAGGAGAAGGAATTTCACAAGGTTAATCGCTCGGTTAAGGTGGGGCAAAAACAAATCACAATGGTGGAATGTCATCAGTTAAGGCAGCAACCGGGCATTTTCACTTCTTTTGTGATTCTTCAGTTGCTTCAGGCCATCTGGACGTAAAGGTGCAGGTCATAGGGGAAAGGATGGCTTAGCTTGGGCTCAGAGGCCTGACAGGGGCCATCTATTCCTGGGCAGGTTAAGGGATGCTACTGTTGCATCTTGTGACACCTTACTGCTTTATGATGAAATGATCTATCCATATGCTTGTTTCATCCACTAGAATTAAAGCTTCCCTGGGCCAGGATCCATTTCTTGTTCGTTACCTGTGTGATGTCTTCTGTGTAGTAGATGCTCAATTCAAGCTGTGAATAGAAATGCACTATATTGAGAACTGGTCCTATGAGATACTATATCTTTGGATGTCTGGCTACAGTAGCTATGTGAAAATGTATTCTTCCAGAATGCAAGGCGTAAAAGAATATCAACACGAAAGAAGACAGGATCACATTCCCAGAGCTGTTACATATAATTTTGTTCGTTTTTTGAGTGAAGAAAATGGTACTCATACTTATTCATCTAAAAGGAGAAGCATAGTTGAGTGCAAATAAAAGTCAGTTTTTAATCAGAAGACCTGAACTATCTGTATTCCCTTACGGACTCCTGATTCTTTCCTTTACCCTCTCATACTCTACATCGAGCACTGAAACTGCTCTCAGCAAGGTCGCCAGAGAGCTCCTTAATTGCCAGCTCCAAAGGTCACTCTTCAGTTCTTTTCCCTTTTTGACCTTTGTCTTGTGCTTGACAGAAATGATTAGTCCCTTCTTGAAATTTTTCTCTCCTGCAGTTTCTGGGACATTGTTCTCTCCTGTTTTCTTTCAGAGTATATCTTCCCTGTCTTCTATTCCTGCCCTTTAATGTCAGTCTACATAAGACTCAAATTGTGATTTTATTTTCTTCTTATGATGCTTTATTTTTTGGGGAAATATCATTTATAATCTTTATCATCACCTATATTTTTGATTCACAAATTGATATTTCTACCTCTCCCTCTCTCCTGATGTTCATCCCTGTATAATTCAAATGCTTATAGGCTATGTATTCCTGGATTTCTGACTGGAATCTAAAATATAGTTTTGGAGTTTAGATCGTATAACTCTAGAGAGGGTCATTCACATCATAGTCTCTAAGAATGGTACATCCTGAACTTGTGCAGTGAGCAACCTGTGCAGCCATTCACAGTGGTCTTGATATCTGCCACATCACTAAATCCCTCCAAATGTACCTGTTAAATTCTCTTTAGTTTGTTATTTTTTTCTACATCCTTGCTGCCTTCACTCTAGTTAAAACTGAAATTTTTCTGTATGAAATTTTTAACTGATTTCTCTGCCTCTGATCTCACCTCTCTTATCCATGCTTTTTACAGCCTCCCGAGGGATATCTTAAAATGCAGTTTTAATTAGATTATTCCCCTGCCCATAAATCTTGAAATGCATGGCGTAGAAATTCTTTTGTGATCTTTAGCTGCCTACCTCTCCAGCTTCACTCCCTTCTCCTCTGCTCCTTTTTTAAAAAAAATACCAGTGCTACTCCAAATAATCTGCAAACTTTTTAGTACCAGTCCACAATTGAGATAAGAAGCTTGAGCCAGAATATAAATCAATGTACTCCTTCCTTTGTCAAGAAAGTTCGGCAATTAAAAGCAAAATAAGATCAAATCGTTTGTTCAGTGACTCAGTTGATTTATACTCTGGTGAAAACTCTTTTCTTCTTACAGACTAATAGCAAACAGTTCACTGTCTGCTAAAGTCTGAACTTTGTTCCGCACTGCCCTATGCTTTAGCTTAAATTAACCACTCTTTGATCTCCAAATGCTCTGTGCTTTCTTAAGCTTCTGTTTCTTTGTACCTACTGTTTTCTCTGCCTAAGATTCTCTTTAGATACCTTTCTTTTTCCCATTCCCATGTTACCTGCCACCGTGCTACTAACCACCTTGTCTTTCTGGTTATCTAACCTTGCAGAGGCAGTTCTCAGCCATTTGTGTGTTTTTTTTTTTTTTTTTTTTTTTTGGAGACGGAGTCTCACTCTGTTGCCAGTCTGGAGTGCAGTGGCGCGATCTCAGCTTACTGCATCCTCTGCCCCGTGGGTTCAAGCGATTGTCCTGCCTCAGCCTCCCAAGTAGCTGGCACTACAGGCAAGGGCCACCATGCCCAGCTAATTTTTGTATTTTTAGTAGAGATGGGGTTTCACCGTGTTGGCTAGGATGGGCTTGATCTGTTGACCTCATGATCCGACTGCTAAGGCCTCCCAAAGTACTGGGATTAGAGGCATGAGCCACAGTGCCAGGCCACTTCTCAGCCTTTTTAACACTTCTATTAAAACACTTGCCAAATTGTATGGTAATGACTTTATTTTTGCATGCCTGTATCTCCAGTAAACGCCTTGAGGGAAGAAATCATTTCTTGTCATCTGTACACCTATAATGCATAAAGCAGAAGTCAGCTCATAGTAGGTATTGAATAAATATTTATTGGATGTTGATGAGGGATTTTCCAGGTTTTGTGCGAGTCTTGTCAGAAAAACAAAATCACTGTGATTTAAAGAGAGGAAACGTAATATAAGGAATTGGCTAAGCAGGTAGTAGAAAACTGAGACGCAGCGCAGGGGATGGAGAGGCAACTCAAAGCACTAGTAACGTAAGGAAGCTGCTAATATCCCTAGAGCTGGAGAAACAATACAGAAAAAGTGATATTACCAGAGCTCAGAAGCTGGGGCTTTCTAACAGAGATTAAACTAAAGTTAGGACTGCCAGGCAGAAAATTGGATTGTTGAAGAGGGAGCTAGCTATCCAGAGAAAACAGAAGCCACAGCAGAGATACATCTGCTCTAGAAATGCCACCCAAGGTAGTTGGAGAAGAAAAAAGACCTTGGCTTTTCTCTTCCTCCCACCTTCCAATATTCTGCCATTGCCTCCAAATGAACAATTAGGAGGGCAAGTGGTGTTGGGAAATGTATATCCCTCTAATACAGAAAGTACAGAAGAAATGTGGGGAATAGATCTGAGAGCAGATGGGCATATTACTGCACAGATGGGTTCTGGCCGTGCATCTTCTGCTCATAAACTATGTGACTTAAGCCACTTAATCTCCCCAAGAATCTATTTCGTCACCCCTGAAATGGAATGTATATGGCCTTCCCTGTTTGCCCTCACACTGTGGAAATTATATTACATGTGTTTGTCTTGAAGAACGTTTACATTTAAAAAACAATGTCTCCTTTCCCCAGGAGAAAGTTGAGTTTCCAATTATTAATTCAGGGATGGTATCTTCCCATGACCACATTTATATATTATTCTTATTCTGACATCTTCTGAGAGTATTCTTAGTAAAGTCTTCCCTGGTCAGAAACCTGTCTCTTTACAAATGAACACATATTATGCTACCACAGAGATATAAAAATGATGCCAGGCTGGGATGGCCTGAATTGTGTCCTCCCTAAATTCTTATATTGAAGCTCTAATCTCCAATGTGATGGAATTTGGAAATGGAGACTTTGGAAGATAATTTGATTTAGATGAGGTCATGAAGATAGGGCTCTTCTGAGGAGATTAGGGCCCTTATAAGAAGACACAACAAAGAGCTTGCTGGCTCTTTCTCCCTGCCTTGGGAGGACACAGCAAGAAGGAGGTTGTCTTAGGCTGTTCTTGCACTGTTATAAAGAAATACCTGCAACTGAGTGACTTACATGAAAATTGATTTAACTGGCTCACGGTTCTGCAAGCTGTAGAGGAAGCATGGTGGCGTCTGCTTCTGGGGAGGTCTCAGGAAGCTTTCAATCATGATGGAAGGCAAAGGGGAAACAGTCACATCACATGGAAGAATGGGACAAGGAGAGTGAGACAGTGCAGGGGGAGGTGGCACACATTTGTAAGTGAGTTCTCTCAGGAGAACTCACTATCGCAAAGACAGCACTAAGCCGTGAGGGATCCGCTCCCATGATCCAAACACCTGCCACCAGGCCCCATTTCCAGCACTGGAGTTTACAATTCAGCATAAGATTTGGGAAGGGACGAATATCCAAACTATACCAGAGGCTGTCTACAAGCCAGGAAGAAGGCTGTCACCAGGAACTGATCCTGCTGGTACCTTAATTTTGGAATTGTAGCCTATAGAACTGCGAGAAATAAGTGGCTGTTGGTTAAGCCACCCAGTCTATGGTATTTTGTTATGTAAGTGCTAGCTGACTAAAAACCGGCTTTGTTAAGCAATGAGTATTACTTCTGTTTTGACTAAAGTTCATAGTGATGCTTACTAACACAGTAGATGGATTGAAACAGGTCATGATGCTGGCAGTGGGGCATTAAGTACACGTCAGATTGAAATGGCTTTCCACATTGCACTAGATCCTTTTGGAACCCGGGTTGGAAGTTATTTAAACTTGAAAGACCCACAAGCATGTTGACTTCTCTTAAACTCAAGGACCTTTCACACTGAGAGAGTTTAAAGTTTAAATTGCCTCCCACAGGGTCCAAGTCATCATCCAATGCATGGTGGGTTTCTTTGAACACTTCTGTAGTCATTATGAGTCCACATCATTTCAAGAAAGAAGAGACAGCAACATTAGTTTTCATGCTAATTTTCCTATTCACTCAACTAATATCTAATGGATTGCTATGGTATGTAAAACACTCCAGTTACTTTAACTGTAAATCTAAGCTTTCCCTCAGGAAGCTTGCACCCAGCATAAACTGTCATGAAGAAGTACTAATAAAATGTTAGAAAAGTTTTAAGGAAGAAAAGTTCACTTCCTGCTTGAGAGGCATGGAAGACTTATGGGAAAATTAGCATCTGACTGGATAATTAAAGAGTAGGGAAGCATTGGGCTCAAGATGAGGAAAGTGACAATTCATTGCAGGGGAAAGCCTGTATGCGAACAAAACTTACATGGGATTAAGTATTCTTGTTTGCCTCCAGCAGAAGTATGAAGTAAAGGAAGTTTAGAAGTAAGGAATGAGGTTGAAAAGGTAGGTTGAGTTCATAATAACTAAAGGTATTCAATAAAAGATTAAGGCATGTAGACTTAAACCTTCTGGTCATGGGGAGCCATTGCATATTTTTGAGAGAGAGAAATATGATATGGCTACTGTGAACCATATCATTTTGATCTCACTTGAGAGTTGGGAGAGAGAGGCCATCTTACCTTGGTTTCATAGACTGGGAAGGGGGAAAGAAAAGTTTTCTCTAAAGGGCCAGAGAGTAAATATTTTAGGTTTTGTGTATCATAAAATTTATTTTAAAACTACTCAACTCTGCTGCTATAGCTAGAAAGCAGCCATAAACAATGTATAAATGAATGAGCATGACTGAGTTCCAGTAAAATTTTATTTACCAAATTAGATGGCAGACCATATTTGTCCCATAGAACATACTTTGGGGATTCCGGCACTAATGGGTAAAATGAGACTATTTTGCTGTTGATTTTTGTTTATATGTTTCATTGTCTTTGTTATAGCTGTGTTTGCAGTTTTTATTCTTGTTATTCCAATTGTGGCTTTTACTTTATCAGTCATTAAGAAGACACTAAAACAAATATGACTACTCTCACACGTGAGAAAGTGAGAAATGGCATAGGGCTTAAAGCCAGTTAAAAAAGGATCATGGAAGATATTAATAACAATAGCTAATATGTATATGGCTTCTACCAAGTATTTGCTACATATTAATGTATTTCACACTTAAAATAGCATTACGAAGTAAGTTTTATTATTGTCACTCTTTGCCAATGATAACAATGTGTCATAGAAATTTCAAGTGACTTGCTCATGGTCACATAGTTTACAGGAAGCATCGCAGCTAGGATTTGAACCCAGACAGCCTAGCTTAGGGTGTTGCCTTCGGAAATTCCTCGCCTTGCTATGTTGTAATAAGTTAAAGGTGATTTCATCAAATTATTTAGCTGAAATAAAATGCTTGACTGGGACTCCTTAAGAATTTGCCAAAGTCTATGGAAGCTGCACTTATTCTAGATTATGTCTGTTCTACATTCTGAAGTATCATTGACTCTAGTGTCCCATGGCAACACTTGATTATCTTTAAATACAGAGACCTTTTTCACTGAAAAGATTTCTTTAAAATTTAGATGTCTTTTTCAGCATCAAAAATAAGTGGAATTTCCATATAATTGAACTTTTTTTTCCAAGTGCAAGACTTTTGGAGCTCACCATGGTCTTAACCACATTATATAATAAGTAGTAACTTTTTTCATCTATGCTTAATATTTTCTCTGATGTGAGAAATTGTATCATCAGATTAGAAAGTTGAGGATTTTAGGAAATTAAGGGAAATTCCAAGGTAATAATAAATTGGGAAATAAATTATTTTATATTGCCATTAGGGTACAAAGTATACAACTAAGGATCATATTTTAATGAAAAATTTCAGAATTAATATCCTGATATTAGAGACTTCAATCAAATTCTCATATAATCCAAGATAGCGTAGTCAAAACCACTAAATTACTGTACTGTGTAGCAATGAACAGTAATTCTATATTGACTTATCCTTATTTTTTTTTTAAGATGGGTTTCTCGTTTATTTGGAACAAAAGAAAAATGTAGTGTTGTAGAAATCTTTGGATTCAGACAGACCTGTTCTTGAGTCTTGACTCAGTGCTTCACTGTGTATTGAAACTAAATGAAGATCTTCAACTTTTCTATTCATGATCAATCTGCAAAAATAAAAGCTATTACAGATAACATACAAGGTTTCTTGAGCGATTAAGTTTTCTTTTTGAAAGCCTGTGACCTGATTAAGATGCTTAAAATGATATATATGTCTCTTTTCTGTTCTTTAAATTTGAATGAAAGTTTGGCATTTTAAAAAACTTTAGGTGATTTAGGAGTATAATTTTAAGCAGATTTTTAGAGTACGAGTGTCCACATATTTAACTAAACATTCAAAAATTAGTTAAAATCAATGAACTTGGGAAGGAAAACTACTTGCTACATAATCCAGAAAATTTTACTAAATTATTTGAACTAAGCATGACTCTCCAAACTGTGGACATATTTTCTCAAGGGATTCTATGTATTATGGCTTCAAGGTACTTTTGTGTGTACCTCAAAATGGCTGAAGGCATTTTAACAGTGCATCTGAGAGTGTCTTACTTACATATTATTTGTACACTATTTTATCTATATCTTTGGACATTTTATATTTCTGTGTAAGTAAAACTTCCATGAAAATTTCATTTGTCACCATATTTTCGTTATGCAGATAAGAAAACGAAAGAAGCCAAATTGAAGACAAGCTCTGAAAGGGAATGTGCGCCCTCTAGTGACCCACATTTATTTATCATAAGGACATAGGCAGCTTTTGGGTTTCATCATTTTAAATAAACTTTACATTTGATTTTAAAATATATGACTCAGGATTTTCAACTTGAGTATATTATATTGTATGATCATAGATTTATTACTCTGACAGGATTTCATCTATCATTTAAGAGAATATTTCTATTAACCTGTGTTAAGGTGATTTTCTTGCACAGAAGTGTGTTTCAAAGGGACTTTCAATTTATTGAAAATGAAAAATAGGCTTTAGGCATCTGTGGCTTAGCAGCATTTTATTTCCCATCCTCTGGGTCATGCAGTTTTTGCCCACGTGTTTTCACACTCCTTGGCTTTATAACTAATTCCTCTAATGTAGCAGTATCTGACATTTTAGAATTTGTGGGGGTTTCTTACCTTTTAATTTTTAAGGTTGTTTCTCTCAAAGATATTTAAACAAAACTTATAAATGTGACATCTGTTCAATCATGTCACACTTTAGAAATAAATATTACCAATGAATTTTGAAATGATTAAGATTTAATACCAAATTAAGGTAGGAAGATTATTTTAACATCATTTCTACCTACCAGACGTCAAAATATTTTAGGTAAGTTTTACTTTGTGCAGAGAAGCAATATTTTACAGCAGTTTTATTCTCTTCACTGCAATCAACGATTCTATGGGTGCCAAGATGAATATCAATACCAAATAACTCAGACATTTTTGGCATTAATAGCTTAAAACATTAAATCATTCAATTTGTATGCAAGGGCATGTATTTTAAAAAGCAGAATTTTTAAACATACTAAGTATATAATTCGGTATGCCATAATTGATAATAAAGAAGATGTACAATTTTAAGGACAATATTTTGTGCTTGGACTAGAATTCAGCTTTTGAGGCACATGTTAAATAGGCATATTTTAGGACAAGGTAAACGCCACAGAAATTGATTTTTTAGTATCTTTTAAAGATGCCTTTCAGTGCAATCTGAAATCATTAAATTTTACTGTACTGAAACATATTATTTTATGAGTGATGTGCTTAAAATTACACATATAAAACTAGAAATACATTTGAGACCATGCAAATATAAGGAAAAATAGATTTTTGATAGGAATGTTAATATAGCAGTTTCCACTAACTGAAGACAGAGTCCTCTGTCATCTGTCACATTGTTCCAGGTGCTGTGTAAACCACTGAAGAGTTTATAGGCTTTTTATTATAACTGGGAATTATAACATCTTTAGATTTTATTTAATTTGATTGCTAGATGAATAGACTAATGTAATTGGAATATGAAAGCCACAATATAAGCAAAGCTGATCTCAGTTTTTGTATCTTGGGTCAAAACCTCTTTAATTAGAGAGGTAAGTAAACATATTTACAAGTAATTTTTAAAAAGCATTTGTATTGTAGACCCAGAAAATCTGAGACAGGTCTCAGTTAATTTAGAAAGTTGATTTTGCCTAATCCTAGGTACTCGGGAGGCTGAGGCACGAGAATTGCTTGTCCCCAGGAGGCGGGGGTTGCAGTGAGATTGTGCCACTGCACTCCAGCCTGGGTGATAGAATGAGACTTTGTCTCAAAAAAAAAAAAAAAAAAAAAAAAAAAAAAAAAAAAAGTTGATTTTTGCCAAGGTGGAATTCGCGCGCCTGTGACACAGCCTCAGGAAGTCCTGACGACATGTGCCCAAGGTGGTTGGGGTGCAGCTTGGTTTTACACATTTTAGGGAGGCATGAGACATCAATCAAGTACATTTAAGAAATACATTGGTTTGACCTGGCGCGGTGGCTCACACCTGTAATCCCAGCACTTTGGGAGGCTGAGTCGGGCGGATCACAAGGTCAGGAGATCGAGACCATCCTGGCTGAAACAGTGAAACCCCGTCTCTATGAAAAATAGGGAAAAAAAATTAGCCAGACGTGGCGGCAGGCGCCTGTAGTCCCAGCTACTCGGGAGGCTGAGGCAGGAGAATGGTGTGAACCTGGGAGGCGGAGGTTGCAGTGAGCCAAGATTGTGTCACTGCACTCCAGCTTGGGCAACAGAGCGAGACTCCGTCTGAAAAAAATAAAATTAAAAAAAAAAAAAAAAAAAAGAAATACATTGGTTTGGTCCAGAAAGGCAGGACAACTGGGTGGGGGTGGGGGCTTCCAGGCTGTAGGTAAATTTAAACATTTTCTGGTTGACAATTGGTTGAGTTTGTCTAAAGACCTGGGATCAATAGAAAGGAATGTTTGGGTTGAGATAAGACATTGTGGATACCAAAGTTTTATCATGTAGATGAAGCTTTTAGCTAGCAGGCTTCAGAGAGAAGAGGCTGTAGAGTGCTTCTTATCAGACTTAAAGTCTGTGTTGATGTAAGTGTCAGAGAGGTATAATGAGGCATGTCTGACCCCCACTTCCCTTCTTGGCCTGAACCAGTCTTTCAGGTTAAATTTTAAGAGCCCTGGCTGAGGAGGAAGTCCCTTTGGAGGGGGAGTTAGCCTTTTATTTTTGGTTTACAGTATGTTTTTACTTCAGGACCAGTTTGATAACAGCTTTTAAATTTTTACAATTTAAAGCAAGAAGTCGCTGAAGATCGAAGAAATTAATTTACCCAAGAAAATACCAGAAAGATAAAAATTAGGGATTAAAACCTGTGGTGCCTGATTTACACACACATATATAGCTATGTTATTTTTTTTTCTTTTTTGAGACTGAGTCTCGTTCTGTTGCCCAGGCTGGAATGTAGTGGCACAATCTTGGCTCACTGCAACTTCTGCCTCCCTGGTTCAAGCAATTCTCCTGCCTCAGCCTCCCGAGTAGCTGGGATTACAGGTGCCCACCACCACAGCTGGCTAATTTTTGTATTTTTAGTAGAGACGGGGTTTCGTCATGGTGGCCAGGTTGGTCCTGAACTCCTGACCTCAAGTGAACTGCCCGCCTCGGCCTCTCAAAGTGCTGGAATTACAGGCATGAGCCGCCACGCCTGGCCCTCAGCTCAGTATATTTTTAAATGCACATTTACTTTACATTTAAAGCAACTTAAACATACACACAAACACACACGTATCACACATATTACAAAATACAAGACAATCATGTGGCCCTATCTTCCCCCCTTCCACAGAGGGAGACACACTTACACTATACAAACGTGTATGTGTTGTGTGTGTGTATACAAACTATCTTGATTTGGAGAGGGAACTATTTATCTAAATATTAGCTTGTTTTCTTTTGGTTAAATAGGATTTCCCCTTTAATAATATTCTGTAATTCCAAAAATATAATAATTGCCATGTAGTCAATGCATCTCAAAGTCCTAAAAATATTTTTAGAACTAATAGGATTTATACTGAATTTCATTTGATATTTTTATAAGATCTATTTGATGCAAATTGAATTTGTATTCTATTACTCGATTTTTTTTTAAAGCAAATGCCATGTGGAAACAAGCAGAGAGGGACAAGTTTTCCCAGAAGGAAAGTTGAAAGGGGAAGAGTAGAGAGAGGTTGATCAAGAAAACCTTCACAGATGATGTGCATCTTGAACTGAGCCTTGGAAGATGAATAGTAGGTCATCTTCAAATGGTTGGGGATTTAGGGTCAGGAAAGTGCCTGTATAGTAATATGGAATTAAAATGTCTTCTCACTTCGGAAAACTCTGAAGAAGAAAGGTGATTTTTAAAAATACAGCAAAGTTGGAAAATCTTACCTCCAAAATTATTTCTTCTTTAATACCAACAAAGAATAATTATAGTTTTGTTCCTATTAATGTTAAAACTTGCTTCCTAGCTAATTAAAATGTTCATTAAGAATTGGTTTCATAAATTATCTGGTCTAGGCCTAGAGCCCTGGGACCCTGCAATGGTTAACGTATTTCACAGGCATCAGCATTTTCCTTTCAGGTTTCTAAGGATGAGGCTTATAAGTTTTTATGAAATTCTACATGCTAAGATGTTTAAATATGTAAAATGGCCATTCATAAACCTAGTTCACTAATCAAATTAGTTAAGTCTGGGAGCTTGGAGGACTTCCACTCTCAAAGTTTACACATTTGGGAATGATGAGTTGCAACTTGTATATTGAAAGTGACTGAATTAAAATTTATGTAAATGTGTCATCTTAGTTTAATAGGTTATGTGGCAGTCACTGTAAAGAAAATTAACAGAACACAGTGCCCATCAGGAGGCTCTTCTGACATAATTAGCACAGTTATATAGCACTAATTCATGTAATGTTTTACTATTGACAATTCAAAATTGACAACTTCTTAAATGGCAAACATTTCTCTAGTTCTTTGAGATGTTTGTATGTGTTTTTGCCTTTGAATTTATTTTAAACATTTATATACACAGGTATCTCTCAGTATTTACCATATGGGATGTAATTAACCTAATTTACATCATTTTTATGGGAAATTCAACTGGATGAGGCTGAGTCTGTTTGTACAATATAATACTGAGAAAAATTGTCACTCTCTGAATATTTGGTATATATGCCCCAGGCTTTTGATATTTTGAAACTTCCAAAAAATGGAAGGTCTTTTTGAAAAATTGTCTTGGTGTAGTAATACACTTTTGCCAAGAAAAAAAAAAATCAAAGACTTACTTGCCCTGTATGATGGGACTTTACAAGTTTTAATTTCAGGGGTTTCTGATGAGTATATTTGTAAAGGAGAAAAAAATTGTCGCTTCACTGCTAACCATAAATAATAACAAATTGAGGTTTTAAGATATACTTGAAGAATAGAGGACAGAATATTCATCAATAATTATAGAAATAATCATTTTGTGAACAGAGAATGAGAAGTTATTTTTTTATTAGCTAAAGGAGATTTTAAGCTAGGTAAAGTTAGACTGCATTTAAGGGATAGAGTCTGATAACATTCGGAAGTACGTTAAGTACAGAGTTAAGTATATGAGGAAAGTAAGTTAAGCACTAAGGAATATATTAGTGGACTGATTCCAAAGGTGTAGGGACACATTATGAGCAACTTATGATACATAAGTTCATTAGCAATGGTTTTATGTGAGTTGTTAAAGTGGGGAAAAAAGAATTATTAGAAACGAGTAATTTTATGAAGAAGCAAAAATACATGTACAGAATCCAACGTTGAATATGGCATTGAAAATAAGTCTTCAGTGTTTTCCTTGAGGGTTTTAAAGAAGGTAACTGAGTTGCATCTGAATGATATATTTCGTTCGTAATTAAATACCCAGGCTCACTTAGTGCAAAGTATGATAGAAAATGCCATCTGCAAAGCACTGGGAAGAGTAGATAGCACCCAATTTAAAGCATGAAGACATTTAAATCAGAGGTGTCTGTTCATTTGCCATGCATCTCAGCAAAGATATCTGAGGAATATCTAGTAGCAGTGAAATACATGAAAACTACACGACAAACCACAAAAAGTGATGAAGCGATAGTTGCTAAATTGATAAGGAATAAAATAAACGTGCAATTGCTTCTTGGAAGCCAGGGTCTGAGTAGGATCCGGGAAGGAGACTGAGTTCATTGTGCATTGAAAATGTCACTGAACCTAAAACTAAGCGTTGGATGTAGGCCATTGGCACTCAGGGAGAGTACATGGGAGGCCTTGAAACCCTGCCTCTGCTTCCTCTTCACCCTTCCATCCTCATTGCTGGCATAAAGAGATGAGGCTATCCACTGGCAGAATATTGGAGAGAAAACAATGCTAGTAGCTGACAGTTAACTCCCAGAACTCTAAGAGATGGTGGTACATGTTAAGTATTAGAGTGTAGGCTGACTGCACATTATGTGTGGACAAAAAGAGTTTTAGCAAGGAAATCAGAGATGTTTGAAGGAAGAAGTCCAAATGGAAGCAACATAAAATAAATATTAAGATTAGGTTAGGAATAGCTCAGAGCTTGAATTGTGTAAGAATTGGGTTCAGTGTCCACCTGTTTCCCATGAAATCAAGATATCACAATAATGATAGAAATGAAAGGGAAGAACTCCAACAGGTGAGAAGAGTCCAAACTCATTAATATGTTTCTTTGTTCCATTTTAGAAAAGAAGTATAACATTAACCTCTGTGCTTATGAATAGGTTATTTTCCTTAGACAAAACGCTCTCCTCACCACTGCCCTAGTAAAATTTGAAATTGCCTTTTTAAAAATCTGTACATCAAAAAACGAGCGTAATCACTCTCCATACGATCTTTGTATAAAAGGGAAGTTCACGCACTGTATGTGACCCCTTTCCAAATTTATAAAGTCAGACAAAAAATTGAATGAGGAAAGACCTTTCTGTAGAATTTCACATCCTGTTGTTTGAATTGATTTGAATTATCAGAACTACGTGCCAACTGGTGTCCAGGCCTCCCTTAAAATCTTCACAGACAGAGAAGCAAACAGACAGTTACCATGGTGTTGACTCCACAAAGCCTTCTTTGTGTGGAGATAACCAATATACTTGGCAGAGCCTCTAGGCTAGAAGCTGATTTAATCCTAATTTACAGAGAAGGTGTTTTTTGATTATCCTCTTAAAAAGACCAGTGTGAGCTGAGCCCCAGTTCTGTGTCTAAACCATTTTTATCTTGTCAAACAAATGCTTCACTAAACCAAATTACTTGATAATGTGGACTAATGCATTCTCGTCTCTGTTCTTTATGGAGTTAATAGCATGTCTGGCACATAGTAAGCACTTAGTATATGCTTTATGAAGGGGAAAAAAAGGAGACATTTGACCGTTTTAAAAGGAAACATACAATTTTGCCTTTTTCAGGAAAATACACCTCTAAAAGTGTTACAAGATTTCTTCTGGGGCCGGGCGCGGTGGCTCACGCCTGTAATCCCAGCACTTTGGGAGGCCGAGGCGGGCGGATCTAGAGGTCAGGAGATCGAGACCATCCTGGCTAACACGGTGAAACCACATCTCTACTAAAAATACAAAAAAAATTAGCCGGGCGTGGTGGCGGGCGCCTGTGGTCCCAGCTACTCGGGAGGCTGAGGCAGGAGAATGGCGTGAACCTGGGAGGCGGAGCTTGCAGTGAGCCGAGATCGCGCCACTGCACTCCAGGCTGGGTGACAGAGCAAGACTCCGTCTCAAAAAAAAAAAAAAAAAAGATTTCTTTTGGAATGAAAATTATTTACTTTCAAACTAAAAACAAACAACTTTGTTTCTTTTTTCTGCAGTGAATTGGAGGTGGTGGTATAACAGTTACATCAACATGCATGTTATAGGAGCAGAAAGGCTGTGATCCCTTTCCTTCCTCCTTATACAGGTCATAGCAGACATTCCTATAACAAAAGATAGGTTAACAAGAGAAAAGCATGAGATATTTATCTAATAAAAGTTTTAGGTGACATGGGAGCCTTCAAAAATGAAGACCCAATGACCCAAAGGAAAACTGTTTTTATGCTTAGAGTTGATAAAGAGTAGACAGCCATGTAGGAATGTGATTGGACAAAAAGGGAATGATCTGATAGTAATAGACTAGGGACAACCAGCCAGGCCTGTCTGTGTAGAATTCCTTCCTCCTACACATGGGGTAGGACCCCACTTGAATGAGGGTCTTATGATCTACTATCAAACAAAAGTATGTCAGAGAATTTTTTATGGCTAGCTAATAGAGAGAAAGGTGGGCAAAATACAGAGTTATAATTCTGGCTTTTATGGTTGGCTTTGGAGGAGAGGGTTTTTGGTTTCTATGACCTACCTTGAAGAAGAAGAATTCTGGTTACTATGACTCACTTCAGGGAAGAATGTGGAGTTAAAGACAGGAGGGGAGGAGAAGGTCAGAGGGACCTTGGTTTTGAGGCTGCTTTTGAGGCCTTCCAGTGTTCTTTAGTTCAAAGTTTCAGCATGCCAAAGTGCCATACTTTGGGGTATCGTTTTCTGAGCCCCTACAGTGTGCAAACAAGAGCAATGTCAATTCAACGCCTAGTAGAAATCTTTCTCCAACATAGGCTTCAGCAGATTTCTTTCAGCTGTCATGCCAGCCTAGTACCTTGAGGCACGTTTGAGTTTCAGGGACCTCTAAGTAGAAGTGAGCAATCTTTCTTAGAGATAGTCTAAATCAAATGAGGGTGAGACTAGAGAGATTAAGTTTAAAGCGTGAATTTGAAAGTGACTGGTGGATATTCCTATCTCATATTTATGAGTCAGAGGGTATTTGATGTATAATTGAGTCAGACAAATAAATTTCACCAAAGTGGCCCAAATGCATTATATTAACAACCCAGTTTTCAAAATATTTATGGAAGAGTCAGTGAAGGATTTTATTCCATTGGAGGAGGAACAAGAATAAAGAATAGCTCTGAATTACTTTAGAAAATATGAAGCGAAATTTGTTTCTACAAGTACTTGAATAAAAGACAAAGTAGAATATACAGTTAAGAGGTCTATGAAGGCCAGATTATAAAGGATCATGTTGAAATTTTGTTCTTTATTCTAAGAAAAATGAGAAAGTCTTTGAGTGGTTTTACGAATGAAGGTAACATAATCAGATATGTTTTTACTACCGTATATTTCAAAGTAGCTAGAAGAGAATAATTTGAATGTATCTAGCATAGACAAATATTTAAGATTATGGATATCCCAAGTACACTGATGCGATCTTTACAAATTATACGGATATGTTAAATTATCACATGTACCCCCAATCTAAGTACATCTATTATGCGTCAATTAAAAAAGATAGAAATGATAATTTTTCCAGTAGTACATAAAAGAGAGAGTTCCATAAATACTGCCCAGAGGCCAAGTGAAAAGCTATTGCGGTATTTTTGGTCACATTTAATGGCAACACAGATTTGGGTTCTGGCTATGGAGACAGGAAGAAGCATACATATTCAGGAGACAGAGAATGTATGTGTGACAGATTAGACTTTGCAATACATTAAACATGGGAAGGAAGAGAGAGGGTTTTAGTTGGTTTGCTGTAACAAAATACCATAAACTGGGTAGCTTATAAACCACAGAAATTTATGTCTCCCATTTCTGGAGTTTGGGAAGTTTAATATCAAGTAACTAGCAGATTTAGTGTCTTTTAAGGGCAGGCTTCCTGGTTCATACTTGGTGCTCTCTCACTGTGCCCTCACACGGTGGAAAAGAACACTGATCTCTTCAGATCATTTTAAGGGGACTCATTTCATGAGGGCTCTACCCTCTTGACCTAATTACCTCCCAAATGCCCCATCTTTTAATATCATCACATTGGGAATTAGGCTTCAACATACGAACTTTTGTGGGGCACAAAATTCAGTCCATAGCGGAGATGAAGATAACAAATATGAGGGATGGTGATGCTAATTACTGATCTGGGGAATACTGATAGAGTACTAGTTTGAGGGAGAAGATCAAACTTTAAACCTTGGCATATAATGTTTAAGGAGATTTTGCAGCATGCAAGTGGAGACATCCAATAGGCAGATGGTTATATAGCTGTGGAATTCAGAACAAGTGCCTGAATTAGAGATATACATATCAGAATCATTGATAAATAGATTGCAATTCAAGGCATGATGACTGATGTGTTTTCTGGTGAGAGATAGTAGAGTAGAAGATGATTGGTAATGAACTAGGTCTTGACATCTAGTACATAATGATAGGGTGGAGGAGGATGGACCTGCAAAGAAAAAATTACCAATGGTCATAGAAATAGAAGGCAAATTAGAATAGAGTGGCATCATGAAGCCAAAGGAAGAAAAATTACAAACGGATAGTATGGTCAACAGTGTTAACTGTAGTCCTAGCTACTTGGGAGGCTGAGGCAGGGGAATTCCTTGAACCCGGGAGGCAGAGGTTGTGGTGAGACCAGATTGCACCACTGCACTCCAGCCTGGTGACAGAGTGAGACTCCGTCTCAAAATAAACAAATACTAGAAATTGGATGGACTCAGATGCTTGAGCAAAAGTAAGAGAATAAAGTTCAAAATGTAGGTAGTGGGAATGACTTTAATTAAAAGAAGGGAAACTCAAATGTAAAAGAAGGGAATGAGAACGGTGGCTACATATGCGGGTCTGATGGTGTTTGGAAATAGGAAGTGAAAGAAGTTCTACTCTGATAATTGCACTTGTTTCTGTAAGGTAGGGAACAAGATCATCTGAGAGAGCTGCAGAAAGAGGATGGGCCAGAGCTTTGATAAAAGGTTTTAATAGTTCCTGTAGAGACTTAGAGCCCAACTTGGGAAAAAAAAAAAAAAAAAAAAGTATGGCAGGATGCTAGGTTCATTTGAGGCTGTTGATTATTGCCTTAGTTTGGGTTGCCCCAAGAGTAGATCTGAAGAGAAGGATTTAGGTGCAAGCAGTTTATTTGGAAAGTGATCCCAGGAAACAAAGTAGGGAAGTGAAATAAGAAAAATAAAGCAGCCAATAAAGTATGGCACAAATATAGGGATCAGGTTACTGCTGGAAGGAACTGGGGCTCAATCATGCAGGGAACCCCTTGAGACACTGTGTATCATACTTCAGGATTGTCCAACTGAGGGGCAAGGGAGCTGGGAAATTCACCAATTCCAAGCTCTCACTGGTTAAGGGACACCCCTAAAGTATTAACATTCCAGCACTCCTTCTCTGTCCAATATACTGGCAAATAGATGCTTGCAGATAGAGAGACACAGGAAATTTTATGTTGGGCCAAAGCAAAAATAAAAATGTTTTAAGACATTATGATGATAAATATGCATAAAAGATGATTGAAATATAATTCACTGGTTTGGGTAGGTAATCAAATAACCATAGTAGGAGAGTATTTAAGGAGTTAACATCGCTGAAGAGAGTGTGAAAGATTTTTACAGCATATAATTGTACTGTATATTTTAATCAACATTATGAATGAAGAAACAGGAACCTGATAGTCAAACTTGTGGATAAAAAATGTAGGAAAGATAAAAATCATATATGACACAATAAAAATCCATAAACATTTGTAATGCATACACAGATAACTTACTGACATTCAGTGACATGGGATTTAGAGGAATCAGGATCCCTAGTCTCTTAATTTCAAGTTGGATAGCCTCGATAAATAACAACTCAATCTGTATGCTATGAACCGTCAAGTTTCTGACCCATGGTATTGAGGTCAATTAACTTAATTTCTCTGAAGCTCCATCTCATCCTATGGGCAGCTGGAATTGGTGATACCTAACCAAAGAATTTTGTGAGAATATAAAATGCGAATATGTTTTTCTAAGGGCTTTGTGTTCCATTAATTTCTGTATCTGTTTAATTTTTAAACAATAGCCTGCAACAAATGTGAGAAATTCTAACTGGTTTATATGATTCAAAGTCCCAAAACTGGAGTTCAATAGATCAGGTCATATGTTTGTGATAGTAATTAGGTTGTGATATAACTGGTTTAATGATAGTTTATGTGAAAAAATTCCTAGAAGTTTTAAGTCAATTGAATTGCAATGTGAGTTGAAAGTCTAATATTGAAGTGAAAATATTTATTGAAATCATGGGCTATATCAATGAAAGTATTATAAACCAGAAAGATAATTATTCTTCCCTGTTTATTTTACACACTGCTGATATGTTCCCTTTAAGTACCCAATTTAAGGAAACTAAGATAACAACAAGCCATAGAATATCCGTTGAAGTAATTAAGCATAGGGTAGGCTGATGATCAGGTATCTACTGATAAATTTAAAGAGCGGATTTCAAATATTTATAATTTTGTATCCTTTTGCCAATATCTTTCCAACTACTCTCCACCCCCACCAGCTCCTGGAAATGAACATTGTCTTCTGTTTCTTTTAGTTTGATTTTTTTTTTTTTTTTTTTTTAGATTCCACTTGTAAGTGAGATCATGTGGTATTTGTCTTTCTACACCTGGCTTATTTCACTTAACATAATTTCCTCCGGGTTCATACATGTTGTTGCAAATGAAAGGCTATTCATAGTCTTAAAGGCTTAATACTATTCCATTAGACACTTGGGTTGATTCCATATTTTGGCTCTTCTATACCTAAATCACCAGATTAGAATGAATAATTTATCCCTGGTGGCTCCAAAGATCTCTTCCAAAAAAAAAAAAAAAAAAAAAAAAAAAGGTTTGAAAATAACAGGATAGGTGATCTGATATTTATGGCAGCATAACAACTCACACCAAAATGTAGTGGCTTAAAACAGCACCTATTTATTATTTCTCCTAATTCTTCAACGTAGGCAGTGCCCTTTGGGTATTTCTTTTCTCTATGTGGCATCAACTGGAGCACTCATTTGTCTGTCTTCAGCTGGCATTGAGATGGGTCACAGAGGGCTTTATTTGCATGCCTGGTGCCCCATGCTTCTTCATGTGGCCTCTTCACATGGACAGATCAAGTTTCCTTAAAACATGATCACCTCAAGGTCATTGTACTTCTTATATAATTGTTGTCTTCTCAGAATGTGTGCTCTAAAAAGTCAAGCTCTGACATGCAAGCACTTCTCAAAACCTTACTTGCAGTACTCTTACTATTGTCCCATTTGTGATAGAAAGTCACGTGGCCAAACCCAGAGGCAGTATGATTGGAGACTACAGAAAAGCATGTGTTTCAATGGTGACCACCAACAGGAATTTTTTTTTTCTCATAAATACTTTCCAAAAAGAAAAGGTTATCGTGGGAAGTAGTACTTTTTCAAATAGTGGAAACATTCAAGCAGAGGCTGGGTAATAGCTTACAGGATATATTGTAGAAGTGATTTTTACATTGAGGTGAATAAAATGACCTCTGTGATCATAAGACTCTAGATCAAAGCTGACTCCAAATTTGAGTCTACCTAACAGGGAAAATAGTGCTGCTATTAATACTAATAGAGGTGTCAGGCAGGAGTCTCAGATTGAGAAAAGAATGATAAATGTGGATAAATTGCTTTTTTTAATATAGAAGAAAGAGATAATCAAGAAATAATGACTTTTATTTTTTGCTGTCTTAGGTTGGATGTTGATATAACTGAACTTCACAGCTGGATTACTCGCTCAGAAGCTGTGTTGCAGAGTCCTGAATTTGCAATCTTTCGGAAGGAAGGCAACTTCTCAGACTTAAAAGAAAAAGTCAATGTAGGTTATGCATTAATTTTTATATCTGTACTCATTTTGTGCTGCTTGTAAACTCCGTGCTTTGTTATCTGTGATTCTACTAGTTGATAGATTAATGCGATATGATAAAATGCTGTTTAATATGTCTTAAAAATATATTTTAGATAGCAAGCAAAATCAAAGTTTAGCCTAGAGAAATCTTTCTGGATTCTTCTGTGACTGACTAGGGATGCCTTTCATAAACTTGCCTTAACTTACATATTATTTAACTATAAATTAACAATTTTATGACATTAATTCATGTTGATTCCTTTCATATATTGTTCAGTTACCTCAAGGCTAGGCCTTAGCAAGCTTGCACAATTGTGTAGAGTAGAATAGAGTAAAATAGAATAGAATAATATAATAGATACCATACTTAGGACTATGTCTATATTCTCACTGTTATCAAAAAGTTATTCTTTATAGTCATCAATCCCTGTCATATATTATAAGATATTTAAATTTCCCAGATATTTGTGTATTACCTTATCTAAAAGGTGTCCAGCCTTTCTCAGTATTTACATGTGGTAGCAGATGCTTTGTTGTTGTTATTCCCTTCTGAGATGGTATAATTTTGACCTTCACAAATAGGAAGTTTTATTAATTTAATATAAAGTGTTTCATCTTTAGGGAAATTGTCAAGGCTTTAATTTTTCAACTTCAACAATTATAAAACATGCATCTTTGTATATGATTGGCAACAGTTTGTAAAATAATTTCTAACAGGCAGAGTAAATAAAATGGGCAAGCTAAGGAAGCAGTGATTATGAATGAAAAGTAATTTTATCCATGGGAAGATCACATCTAAATGTGTATATTAGCTCTGCTTTTTCTCTCCAGGATTCAAATCATGAAGTTCAAAATCCATTGTATTTTTACAAATACGACATTACCTCAGTTACAAGCTAATGTTTGCTGTTGGGGTTGGAACTTTTGGAGATCAACAAAAGATATATATATATTCTGGAAAAAAAATCTATTTTTTAGGCTGCTTGAAAAAGGGAAGACAATTTTGTCACCAGTTCTTCTTAGAGTTAACTACTTATAAATTGGAAAGCTATTTTAAATTACTTATTAGCTTTATAAGACATGCTGTTGTCAGCATTATAATAGACTATTCTAAATTGTTTCAAGAAATGGGAAATATGAAAACTGAAAGATAATATATAATTGTAGAAAATTAGCTAAATGTCTTTTTTCAAGTATACTTCTTTGAAGGTAAATTGTTTGCTGTGATTTTTGAGGGAAATTCTCTTAGTAGTAGAAAATTAATTAGAGAACATTAAACTCTAATTTTCAAACATCATGTTACATATTTGACCACTGAAAGTATGAATCACCTTTAGCATTTTATTAGCTAATTAAAAATGATTATTGATCTGATTCTCACAGGTTTCTGTCTGATACTCTGTTTCTTTATCTTAAGACAGCTTTGATCAGGCAGGAAAATTGAGTTTCAGTATTTCAGGAATATAAATTTTAAAAGTTCCTGTTATCATGTGGTTACCTATGAACGATTTGCATTTTATCAATAGCGGGAGCATGACAGACTAAAAGTGCTCAAAAATGTACAGTGTTTTATAACTGGTTTTCTGATACCTTGTGAGTCCCCTTTATCAACCTGAACTCTCATTTTCTGAAATAACAACATCATTCTTAATTGCCTACTAAAATGGGACATGAAATGATTTACCTTGATGTTTCCCTCAGGCTAAATACAATGTATATGTATTAAAAATCCTTGAGAGAAATACATAATTACGATGATGGATATTCAGTTTAGGTATCCATTAATTTTCTTACTACATCACCTGTCGGTTTATATAGGTTATTTTAAACTCATGGCAGGCTCGTGTCATGAACTTGAGTGGTATTAATCCATTTTTAGGCTTTCATTAAAAATGGCTAAATATTACCAACTCTTTTTTTTTTCACTTGATTTCTTCATTTACTCCTTTCAAATGCTTTTAGCCAGTTAGCATATCATAGGCCATTATCAGTTCAATTTCACATATTTTAAAAAATGCAACTTTTAAACCTAAGCATAATTTTTTCCTTGTATATTCACCATGTGTTTTATTCATATAATTAACAAAATGCACTTATTTAAAAGCTGACTTCTGGGGGACCTTTCTAATCAAAATGTCCCTGGACCACCAATATTGACATTATCTGGGAGCTTGTCAGAAATATAGAATCTCAGAACTAGTAAATCAAAATTTGCCTTTGAACATTTTCCAGGAGTGATTCCTATGCACATAAAGGCTCGAGAATCAATATTCTAGGACACAATCTTGGGCTTTACGTAGCAGTTACCTCTCACATTCTTTTAGTATCACTGCAGTTCAGACTTTTTAGCTGAATTAACAGATTCTAACAACTCGAATTTTTTCCGTGAGCACATGGTAACGCAAATTGGTAATGAAACAAACAAAAAAAATAGCCTCCTTTGATCACAAGGGGATTTGATAAGGTGTCTGAAAATCTGGAGCTTCTGTGAGGTTCTCTTGAAACCCTCCCTATCAAGTCGTTATGGTCATCTGGCTTTGGGCTCTTCCTCGGATCTGCACTTGATTACCCTCTTTCAGAATCAACTTTTTACCAACTCCCGCTGGAAATCATCAAGCCAGTTAATGCTTCCAATTTCTCCTATCTCTGTTATCTGTGTTTACTACCCAGAGTATAGGTACCTCGAGTCTATATTTTCTTCTATCTTTCTCTCTCTGCTCTATTGCACTTTCTTTTCCTTGCTTCACTTCCTCTGCTTTCCCACACTCTCACTCGGCAGGCTCAAACACTTTTTCAAGACAAGCCTTCTATATACTTATTCTACTCATACGTGGAAACCAATTTTACCCTCGAAAACAGCACTATGACTCATCCCTCTTTTGTACCCCCACTACTTTAGAATGACTGACTCCCTCACCTAACAGAGACAATTCCAAAGATACTGCTCTCTTCATGTAAAAATACCTCTTTCCTTGCAGTTAATGACTTCTGGCCATCTCTTATCTACCATTTTATCATATTTTCTCATTGAAGACTTTGGCACTAGGTTAGTAGATTTTTTCAACCAATTTGTTCTTTCATTCTTAGTTATTTCAGCATCCCTGTGGGCTCTCCTGCTATCACTAAAAGCTGTTGTTTCTCTCATCTCCTCAATTCAGCTACCTGCTGTCATGATTGTATGTATGTAGATGTTGTCATTGTCAGGCATTACTCCATTTCTTTAATAAGATTATTTTTTTGAGACGGAGTCTCGCTCTGTCCCAGGCGGGAGTGCAGTGGCGCGATCTCGGCTCACTGCAAGCTCTGCCTCCCGGGTTCACGCCGTTCTCCTGCCTCAGCCTCCTGAGTAGCTGGGACTACAGGCGCCCGCCACCACACCCGGCTAAGTTTTTGTATTTTTAGTAGAGACGGGGTTTCACCGTGTTAGCCAGGATGGTCTCGATCTCCTGACCTCGTGATCCGCCCGCCTCGGCCTCCCAAAGTGCTGGGATTACAGGCGTGAGCCACCGCGCCCGGCACTAACAACATATTTTAACAAAACCAGCAGTTCTTCATAAGCTTTCCGTGCATCCTAAGTATATTTTCAACTTAGTTTCTCTCAACAATTATTTCAAGCTTTTGTGGGGTACCTAAACTTTCCCCATCATTCACAGTAAATGATTTCATCTCCTACTTTAGTCGAAATAATATTTCTCAAATTGTGGGTATTTGTGCTCATAGTATCTTTTTTTTTTTTTTTTTTCCACCTGCCTTAGTGGAAGAGGCTATCCTTCACCTGGTTGAGGCTCATCTCTGGGTGTGTGTTCTCAGCAGCATCACTGACTATGTATTAAGCCACCTGGTTCCATTCAGCTGTATATCCAGATTGTCAAAAATCTACATCCCAGGTCTTTATCATTAGCTTTTAAACCGGTTGTGTTTTCATCTTTTAGAACGTGTCCTCTCCTATAAACATGCATGTGAATACTTAACGTGCCTTATCTTACTCAATCCCTCTGTAGAACTAGAACCTATTAACCTCTTTTCCCTCATGAAATTCTTTCCTCGCTTGGCTTATGGGATACTGCTTTCTCCTGATTAATTCTTTCACATTCTTGGCCATTTGTTCCAATTCAGTTTTTCTTTAATATTGATATTCTTCAGAGTCCTTGTGTTTCTTCTCTGGATATCCTCATTCATTCCCATTCAAATAGTGTCTATTTTCAAATGAACCCTTCTCCCATATGTATCTTTAGCTCATCTCTTTCTTAAAACCCAGGGTGATATATCTGACTGCCTAATAGACAATTTTAATTGATGTTTGCCTGATATCTTAAATCTCATTATTTCCCCAGACCTCCTTTATTCTTTCTCCTTCCTTTCACCCTGCAAACAGCCTAATCCAGAAACCTGAAAGTGAACTGGGTCACCTAGATTTTTCTTCTACCATTCACAAGTCCAATCTTTGACAGGTTCAATTAATCCTGCTCCCTTAACAGCTCTTGAAAATGTCCAGTTCTCTCTATTCCCATCACCAAAACCCTGATTAAAGCTAATATCATGGCTTACTTCTATTTAAGATGACAATCCTGTAGCTGGTCTTCCCTGCTACTAATGTTATATTCCTTTAGAAGTTTCCACATCACCTCTGCCAAAGCGAACATATTAAAACCTCAGTATGATCTTGTTATGTCTGTGTTTATAATCATTTGAGAAAGATAAAATCAGCTACTGATAGCCAGGAGCTGGCTTGGCACTTCAGTTAGGCTTTGGAACTGCTAGATGTTGCCTTGGTACTTGCAGCCAGTCTGATGTTCTCTGGTTGAATATAAATAATTGCTAGGGATGCCAGCATCATACAGGGACACGCTATGGTTGTGATGAATCAAGATAAAAGCAAGACCACTTTGTAATCATATCTTAATACAGTAAAAAAGAATAGCATTGTCCAAACCACGCCTAATGACCAAATATCCCTCATCTTCATTAATGTGACACATTATGCTTCTTTACTAAACACAGCTTTAGCCTCTCTGCATTCCTCCTGCCATCTAGATAAAAATTTTAGGACACTCAACATAGAATTACCCTACTTCCTTACAACATCCAATCAAAACAAAGCCCCACTTCCTTGATGCCCCCTATCATGTAACACAAGCCCACATCTTAAAATAAGCTTTTTCTAACATACTCTTAGAGACAGCCCCATAGTTCCCTGTGATGCGCTGTCTCTCTCGTTGCAGCGTGTAAATCAGGTTAACTTTGATAACCTACAAATATGTTCCAGTGGTCTTTGTCTGAAGAGTGTTGACAAAGTCCATGTCTTCATATTGCCCTCTTAAAGCCTACAATGATCTAATTTTTGTTTACTTGCACAAACTAATTTCTAGCCATTTTCATTTCAATTCCATTGTTGGTTTCTAGAAATCAGGACTTGAACGTGAAGTGGCTTTGGTTTTATGTGTGTGTGTTTTGTTTTTGGTGTCCCCATGCCTAACACACAAACCAATAAATGTTTAACTATATGGATATGTGATTTTTTTCAGTTCTGCAGTTGCATTTAAGATAGGATCTATTACCAATATGAAGGATAGAACAACTTCTGAATAAACATTTGAGTGAATAAGTTACTCTTCAGTCAAAGGGTAAAACTTCATTATAGAATGTTAAATGAGTAGATTCTTAATTACTTCTAATGTCGGAGTAGGACTGATAGAGATCCATAACTTATTTTCATAATGTTAGAGAAGATACAGAAAGAGGAGGCTTTTAAGAGGTGCTAATAAAGAAGGAGGAACAGAGGTCTGAAAGAGGTTTTAATCAACTTATTGAGGAATTTGTGAACTTCCCTGTGTTGTATTCTTTGCTTCAAATTATTTTACTTTTCTTCCTTTTATTGAATATTATATAACTTAGTTGCCTTTTATTTTGCATTTAGGTTACCCATTTTAGTATTTATAATTCTTCATGATCTCTAAGAATTTTCATGAGCCCACAATAATCACTCATTTCTGATACATTGATTTACTGATGCCTTTTTTAGCTTCTGTATACTTTACTTGAAATTATGTGTACTAAATAATTTAGAATCCGAGTAGTGGCTTCTAAACATGTGATCATATATTAAGCATATATTGAGTAAAGTATTTAGTATTCTATATGTTAATAGCATAATTTAAAAACTGTATGTTATGAAATATAGATCCTTTCAAGATTAAAAATGTATATGCATGTAGACACATATATGATAAACAGCTCTATAGAAAAACACACATACAGAAAAGCTGGATGACTTCATGAGGACGAAATTTAAGAGAAAGATAATATTGTCAAGGGCAGAGGTATTTTTATGAACATGGCAATTTCGAGGAGGTAATTGTAGTTTTTATCAGTACTGAATGTTGTAAGAAGCATTTTTCCTAACAAGAAGAAAATTAATGACTTTCTTTTCTTTTTTTTTTTTTTTTTTTTTTTCCCGAGACGGAGCCTCGCTCTGTCACCCAGGCTGGAGTGCAGTGGCGCAATCTTGGCTCACTGCAACTTCTGTCTCCCGGGTTCAAGCGATTCTCCTGCCTCAGCCTCCCGAGTAGCTGGGACTACAGGCACGTGCCACCACGTCCAGCTAATTTTTTGTATTTTTAGTAGAGACGGGGTTTCAACTGTTGGCCAGGATGGTCTCCATCTCCTGACCTTGTGATCCACCTGCCTTGGCCTCCCAAAGTGCTGGGATTACAGGCGTGAGCCCCTGCGCCCGGCCAAATTAATGACTTTCACAAAATAACTTTTTGTACAGTAGTGAAGGCTGAAGTCTGACTGTAGGTATTTGGAGTAATATTGAAATACTGGAATTTGGACTAATATGGTAATATTAGTCCAAATTTCATTGAAGATGAAATATATAAAAGAAAATGAAGACTGTGGTTGAAGAGTATTCAGATGATACCCTTGGTCTTGAAAACATGGGAAAGGGGTATATATACAGTATGTATGTGTATGTACATATATGTACATACACACACATAGAGAGAGGAGGTGGAAGATCAGAGCCATGAAATAAAAACAGAGAGGTAAGATTCTACCAAGTTTTGACTCATGGATTGTATATGGTACTCTTTCTTTTCTACTTAGGTATTGGTTTATTACCAGTATCAGGACTTGAGCTGAAGAAAAGATGGATGTGCCCAACTCCCTAACTAATATGCAGTTTCTAGAATACTTTGATTTAATCCATCCTTCCTTTACTGAGCTTGCAGCACCTGTCCCCATGTACTGGTTTTATGGCCACTTTATATAAAGCTATTAGAGTTCGTTATGAATTTGCACTTTAAGAGAGCATTGTGGGTAAGGGGAGAGACCATAATATTGTATATGGACGCGTTACGCTAAAATAGAGCTCGCCTTATTATGTACCTATAATGTACCAGCCACTTTCATGGAGACTTGGGATAGAGTAGAGAAGGATATAGATAAGGATACCTGACCTTATATAGTTTACATTCTAGTGGGAAAGATGGAAATGAAGCAAGACTAATATGTAAAGCATGTGGAATGTTAGTGATAAGTTCCAAGGAGCAGAATAAAATGAGAGGGTATGCATGTGCTTGTAGACAGAGTGGCACTAAAAGGCCTAGCTGAAAAAGTGGCATTTGATGGGGGAAAATGTCCAAGTAAGTAATTTAGGGCCTTTTTAGGCATGGGGAAAAATAAATGCACAGCCGTGTAACAGCAGCATGCCTGTAGCATCAGGGAAAAGGTAAGCGTGTGGCTGCAGCAGAAAAATCACGATGTTTAGCAGCAGAAGAATTCAGAAAGGTTAAGGAAGTTAATTAAGATCAGACCATGGTAAGGACTTGAGCTTTTATTCAGCTGTCAGCGAGTTGAGCTGAATCCTGTTGTCTCTGTCTGCTGTGTTGATAATATATAATCAGAGAACAAAGGGTGAAATATAAAGACCTTTAGTATCCTATTTTGAAACATTCATACCCCTCAGAGATGATGGGGTACTTTGTCTAATGTGGTAGTAGTGAGCACCATGATAACTCACTTTCTGGCTATGTTTTGAGGTTAGAGCCAACAGGACTTTGTGATGGATTGAATGTGAGGCTTGAGAGAGAGAGGGGAGTGGAGGATTCTGTTTTTGGCCTAAACAAAGGAAAACACAGATTGAGGCCTAGGACACTCCAAAGTGCGAGCTCAGGGACATGATTAGGAACCTGCAAAGGAGATGGAGGAAAGGTGACCTCTGAAGTTGGAGGAAAACTGTGTTCAAGTAGTACGTGAAGCCAAATTAGCAAATACTTCTAAGAAGAAAAAGGAATCCTCTCAATCAAATCATGGTGATAGGTAAAGTGAGAACTGAACATCAGTCATTGAATGCAGTAGCTTGGGGGCCAATGGTGAGACTGATAAGAGCAGTTTTGATGGGACTGAGTAAGAGAATAGATGTGAGAGCCAGTTTTTGTTTTTGTTTTGAACCAGTTTTTACTTTGCAAGATAGACCTGTGGAAGGCCTATGTTCCTCTTTGTTGATACACAGTCACTTAAAATGAGGACAGTTATCTTCCTTTTTCAGCAAAATATATCTCTTTAGACTTTGTTTTTGGTTTTTGTGCTTTTCTGTGCTTTTTAATGTATATTTCTGTGAGTTAATGGGAGACGGTAGAAATTTTAGGAACTACTGATCCAACCTACCTGAAAACAGAAGTTCATATATTTCATTTGAGGACGAACGTATGGGTGGCCAGATCCCAGGAGAAATGGCGATTTTCAGTGATGTTTATTTACTTAACCTTTTTTTTTTTTTTTTTTTAACACTTTTTATATGTGGTTATTTGGACATTTCCACGAACAAGGTACTCTCATCATCTCTTGTGTCAAAAATGTTTCCGTGGCCAGGCACGGTGGCTCACGCCTGTAATCTCAGCACTTTGGGAGGTCGAGGCGGGTGGATCATGAAGTCAGGAGATCAAGACCATCATGGTTGACACCATGAAGCCTCGTCTCTACTAAAAATACAAAAAATTAGCCGGGCATGGTTGCGGGCGCCTGTAGTCCCAGCTACTCAGGAGGCTGAGGAAGGAGAATGGCGTGAACCCGGGAGGCGGAGCTTGCAGTGAGCCAAGATTGCGCCACTGCACTCCAGCCTGGGCGACAGAGCGAGACTCCGTCTCAAAAAGAAAAAAAAAAAAAGTTTCCTAAATTTCTTTTTAAGATTATTGAAGTTACCTTTAAGTAGAATGAGCACATATTTCAGTTTGTCGGGTATAGTCTTAGCTTATGTCAAACCATTTTTCTCAGCTTAATTATTCCTAGCTCCCCATTTTACTATAAAAACTATCTCATTTTGGGAAATAAATAGCGAGCTTCCTTTAATCCCCTCAGAAGTCCCACATGGTAGGTATCTTTATTGCTATTTTACATAGGAAATACTGAGGTTCAGAAAGGTCGAAGTACTTTATTAGGGACAGATAGTAAGCAGTAGAGACAGAACTGATAACAGCAGAGCAAAAAGGGTGACTGCAGGCCCTTTTGTTGTAGTATCTTCTTTAACATCTCTTTGTTATACTAAATTTTATTATTTTTAATCAACTATCTACAGCTGTGTCTGAAATGAAATGTTTTCTGGGCTCTTCACTGTCTCATTCACACTCTTCAAGGCATACTTGTATGCATATTCCTCTTCATTTTGCAATGTTCCTCTTGAAAGTAATGTGCCCTAACAGAACCCAGATATCGTCTGAACATTGACAAATATGCAGATACCATTGACTGCTTCTTTCTGGGGTCTATGTGTCTCTTTATGCACCAGTTATTCAGTTTATTTGAGCTGTATACAGAGTTGGTAATCAGCCTATAGACTGTCAGAGACCATTCTGAGTGACCCGGCATTCCTTGTGATATCTTGTTGGCCCTGCTGAATTAATAGTTAAATATGTTGAACATCCCTAATACATCCAAACTATAAGCTCTGTTTGCTCTGATATATATTCTGATACGCTCACACCTTTTTGAATAATATCCATTGAAATACCCCTAGCAACAGCAGAGCATGTCTGAAAGAAAGCTGAAATTATAAGTAGAAGAGCAGGGTTCTAATATTGAATCTAAAACTTCCTAATATGATGACCTTTGATATACGATTTAATCTTACTGATGCTCAGTTTTCTCTTGTATAAAATGGTATACAACAATGCTGATTTCTTCTTTCTTACAATTATTATGACATACATATGGAAATTATGTACATAAACTATAATTTGGTAGTATAAGGAATCTTATTTTCAATGTGGCTATTGCATTGTTTTCAAAATTTTCACAAACCTCTCTGTGCCTCACTTCCCTCCTCTGTCAAAATGGGAAAGTAATAGTACCTACTTTATAGATTATTGTTTTTGTTGTAGTTGTGGTGGTTGTTACTGAGACTATTTATATTAGAATAACTGGAACAATGTGGTTAACAAGATATTAAAGGTCAAATATGATTCCTGAGATATTCAAATATAAGTTTTGTTCTCTGTTAGTAATATTAATTGATTCTAGTAAGCTTAGAATAAAGAGATTATGATGATAACATTTAGAGGGCTATTGATAATTTATTTTCAATATTTATAAAGACCACATAGTGTTCTCATTCTACTTTTTATATCATTTCACAAAAACTAAAGCAAAAGCTCAATGTAGATAAAATAGAAACCCCTCTGATAGGAGAAGATAACTCTAAAAGTAACTCAAAGAACATCACTTTACTCAGCTTGTTGTCATTGTTCCTTTATGTGTTGTATTGTGGTATATATTTTTTCTTTCATCTGTATATTGTTTTCTGGATAAAGTTCAAATTCTGGACACCCCAAATCCTCCTGTCTTTCTTGATATTTACATTACATATTTACTTAAATGTGCTTATTTTTTCTCCTCTAAGATGCTCAGGGTGCTTTCCATATAACATTTACCTTTTAATGGAGAATAAATGTAAGTAGTGAAAAACAAGTATGCCATAAGCTGCTAAGGACAGATAACTTAGATCACAAAAACTAATAAGTTGAGAAAATAGAAATATTGGAGCTTCATCTAGGATCTTACTTTTAACTAGATGTTGTAGCTACTCTATTTTCATGGACTTTTCAGTTCAACCAACAAATTAGAACCATCCATGATTGTGCACGTTCCTGGAAACAATTCAATACTGTCTTTGTGAAACTGAATTTCAAGACAACTCAGAAGTTTTACCTGCTAATTGGAAAGGGATCCTGGGAACATAAAATCACAAAATACCACAAACTGGGTGCTTTGAAATTTTCAAGTGGAATGTAAGATATTAAAAAGTGTCTGTCACTTTCAGAGTTTCTTAACTAATTAGACAAAACTGAGTTTTCATTTGTTGCCCTTCAGAGCACCATGTAAAATGTGTATCTTTCAGCTAAGAGATAGGTATTTAAGAAAATAAAACAAAATTACTACCTTATAGATTTTTTTTAAATTTTACTCTTAATTTATTCTCAGTTTTAATTAGTATTTTATATATTACAGCTATTCCTGATGGAGTTTATTCTGTGAATGATTGGCTTTTTTTTTTTTTTTTAGCATTTTGTACTCTTGATATTGAATCCAGTATTCCTAATTCATGAAACCTTTTTTTGTGATTTTAATAGACTCCATTTTTAGAGTAATTATAGGTTCACAGCACAATTGAACAGAAGGTACAAAAATTTCCCATATAACCCGGCTCCCACAGATACATAGCCTGCCCCACTGTCAACATTTCCCACTAGAGTGGTATATTTGTTTCAACAGATGAACTTACATTGACACATCATTATCTCCCAAAGTTCATAGTTTATACATTAGCTTTCCCTATTGGTGCCACACATTCTGTGAGTTTAAACAAATTTACAATGACATGTATTTATCTTTAGAGTGTTATGCGGTGTAATTTCACTGCCATAAAAATCCTCAATACTTTTCCCGTTCATCTACACTTCTCTCCTAATCTCTAGAAACCACTGATTGTTTTGTAGTTTACATAGTTTTACCTTTTCCAGACTATCATATATTCGGAATTGGAATCTAGGGTGAAATCCTGCGGTAAAATATATAGCCTTTTCAGATTATCTTCTTTAACTTAGTAACATGCATTTAAGTTCTTCCATGTCTTTTTATGGCTTGATAGCTCATTTTTAAGCACTGAATAATATTCCATTGTCTGGATGTCTCACAGTTTATTTATCCATTCATCTACTGAAGAACATCTTGATTGTTTCCAAGTCTTGGCAAATACAAACAAAGCTGCTGCAGCATTCATGTGCAGGAATTTGAGTGGACATATGACTCCTTTGTGTAAATGCCTAAGTGCATGATTGCTGGATCATATAGTAGAATGTTTACTTTTGTAAGAAACCTCCAAACTGTCTTCCAAAGTGGCTGTGCCATTTTGCATTGCCACCAGAAATGAATGAGAGTTCCCATTGCCCCATTTCTCTGTCGGCTTTTGGTTTTGTCAGTGTTCTTGGATTTTGGCCATTCTAATAGGTGTGTAGTGGTATCTCATTGTTTAATTTGTAATTCCCTGGTAACATATGATGTGAAACATATTTTCATTTGCTTATTTGCCATCTGTATACTTCCTTTGGTGAGGTGTCTGTTAAGGATTTTTGCCCATGTTTTAGTTTGTTTGTTTTTGTTACTGAGTTTTAAGAGTTCTTTGTGTATTTCGGATAAGAATTCTCTACCAGATATGTCTTTCGTAAATATTTTCTTTGAGCCTGTGGCTTTTCTTTTCGTTCTTTTGGCAGCATCTTTCACAGAGCAGAACCTTTTAACTTAGTACTATTCAACTTATTAATTCTTTCTTTCATGGATCATCCCTTTGGTGGTGTATCTAAAAAACTATCAACAAACTCAAAGTCACCTCTGTTTTCTCCACTGCTATCTGCTAGGAGTTTTATAGTTTTACATTTTACTCTAGAGTCTGTGATTGATTCATTATTAATTAACTTTATGAATTATATGAACACCACAATTACTTTCAAGCAGTTACACAAATTTCTAAATTCAGTGGAAATGTATTTATTTTTGGTATGTTTATTTTTCATTTTTATTTTATTTTTTATAATTTCAACTTTTGGATTCAAGAGTAAATGTGCAGGTTTGTTACGTGTGTATATTGTGTGACACTGAGGTTTGGTGCTGAGCATAGTATCCAATAGCTACTATTTTGGACCTTTTCCCCTCACTCCCTCCCCACTCTAGTAGTCCGCAGTGTTTCTTGTTCCCATCTTTATATCCATGTGTATCCAAGAAAACATGGTTTTCAACCATAATGCTGTGTTCCACAAAAATATATGTTCATGTTATTTTATTTTATTTATTTATTTTTGAGACAGAGTCTTACTCTGTCACCCAGGCTGGAGTGCAATGGTGTGATCTCGGCTCACTGCAACCTCTGCCTCCCGGGTTCAAGGGATTTTCCTGCCTCAGCCTCCAGAGTAGCTGGGATTATAGGTGCCTGCCACCATGCCCAGATAATTATGTTTGTATTTTTAGTAGAGACAGGGTTTCACCATGTTGGCCAGGCTGGTCTCGAACTCCCGACCTCAGGTGATCCACCCGCGTTGGCCCCCCAAAGTGCTGGGATTACAGGTGTGAGCCACTGCACCCAGCCCATGTTATCATTTGTACAGATATATTCAATGTTGAAATTTTAAAGTGAATTTGTGATAAAATTCACAATAATGTCAGATATTTCACCATCAAAAGTATAAACTTCCAATGAAGTTGATCCAGTGAATAACATGAAAGTAAATAAATTGGAATTAAATAATTGTAATTAAAACAAAAGAAGGGTGTAAGGTTTATGCCTAGATAAACTTTTTTGCATGTAGATGTTGTGTTGTTCAGGACCATTTGTTTAAAGACTTTTTCTCCACTGTATTGCCTTGGTTCCTTTGCCAAAAATCAATTGATTATATTTATGTGGATCTGTTTCTGAGCTTTCTATTCTGTTCCATTGATTTACCTGTCTGTTCTTTTGCCAATATTACTCTGTCTTGATTACTGCAGTTTTATATCAAGCCTTGAAGTCAGATATCGTCAGGTCTCCCACTTAGGAAACTCTTTAAAATAAATTTTTAAGAAAACCTTTATTCAGGCCAGGCACGGTGGCTCACACCTGTAATCCCCCCGCCCCACCCCAGCACTGAGCTGGGCGGATGATGAGGTCAGGAGTTTGAGACCAGCCTGGCCAACATGGTGAAACCCTGTCTCTACTAAAAATACAAAAATTAGCTGGGCGTGGTGGTGCACGCCTGTAATCCCGGCTACTCGGGAGGCTGAAGCAGGAGAGTTGCTTGAACCCGGGAGGCAGAGGTTGCAGTGAGCTGAGATCATGCCACTGCACTCCAGCCTGGGCGACAGAGTGAGACTCTGTCTCAAAGAGAAACAAAAACAAAAAGCTTTACATTTGTAGCTATTTCTTTAAATTAGATAGTCTTTTCAGATACATAAAAATATGTGGATTATTGTATAAGCATTTACATAATTTAATGTGCTTAGTAAATAGTGTTGTCTAGATGATTACTTTTTCTCTGCAACTATTTCTGATATTGCCATATTATATGAAAGAGTTTCCCTCTGTCGCCCAGGCTGGAGTACAGTGGCGCAATGATAGTTCGTTGCAGCCTACTCAGACTACTGTGCTCAAGCAGTCCTTCTGCCTCAGATTCCTGAGTAGCTGGGACTACAGGCTCCTGTCACCACGCCTGACTAATTTTTTAAAATTGTTTGTTTAGAGATGGAGGTCTCTCGATTTTGCCTAGGCTGATCTCAAATCCCTGGACTGAAGCAGTCTTCCTGCCCAGGCCTTCTGAGTAGCTCGGATTACAGGCCTATCTCTTAACTATTTGCTTTTAAAGGAATGTATTAGATCTGCGCTGTACAATCACAGTTAACACTGGTCACATGTAACCTTTAAATTTTAAATTATTTAAAATAAATAAAATTAGATTAAATTAAATATTCTTTTATTTTCAAGTCATGCTGACCACCTTTCAAGTGCTGAATACCCACATGTGGTTATTGGCTATCATATTGGATGACACAGATACAGATCATTTCCATCCCTGCACAAATTTATACTCAACAGTGGTGCAGACTGTCCATGTATCTGTTATTTGCCCTCCCATCTGTACTCCAGTATTTTACCTGGAAATATTTTTTTAAATGCCTGTGGATGTAAATGAAGTCTTAAAAAATAGTCTCATGTAGAATAACCTTCTGCCTCAAATTCAAGAGAAATCTTTGTTATAATATGATTGTTAAGTCACAGGTGTGTTGTTCTTACTATATTTTAATTGCGTTATAGTTATTTGAATAGTTATGTTTTAGGACATACACATTGTTATAGTCAACACTTCTTGATGATTATAGTAATGTAGTTCTACTCTGTCATAGTTTAAAATTTATGTCTCCATAGGAATATTATTAGCTAAACTCAATAGTATGAAATTCTGGCTATTGTTAACTGAAATAATTTTGCATTTGTGGTTCAAAATGTAACTCTTAAGGGAAATAAAGGAATTCAGAAAGTTTTTTGAAACTCAATCTTGTCTTCCTTGGAAATAGGAGTACTTTGATTATTTTTGAAAGAAAAATTAGCCTACAGCCTGGTATTTAAATATATATGTACATATATTATATATTTCTGCTAAATTATTTATGGTAGTTTATTTTTTCCATCTTATATACATACTGGATTCTCAATTTGATTTTTAATACCGCCTATATACTTATTAGTAATTTCAATGGTGTATCTTTAAAAGATAAATTTCATTTTAGTTATGTGACACTTTATCTTTCATTGTTATGAATTGCCTTTTTACTTTTTGCAGTCTTGCGTTGAAATGTATCAGAAACTATAATGTAAAAAAAAGCTGAGTAGAAATCTTATAATTAAAAGTTGTAGCAAGTCATGAAAATGGCTCATGCTTTTATTGCCATTTTGATGTTTTTGATGGCAAAAGTGTTGAGAAAAAGTCTTTAGATTCACGTGATAAGCTGACAGAGTGAAACATCTTAAGGCTTGAAAGGGCAAGTAGAAGTTATAATTATTGTGTAGATTCACAGTCCTTGTATTGAATTACTCATCTTTGCTCTCATGCTGCAGGCCATAGAGCGAGAAAAAGCTGAGAAGTTCAGAAAACTGCAAGATGCCAGCAGATCAGCTCAGGCCCTGGTGGAACAGATGGTGAATGGTAATTACACGAGTTGATTTAGATAATCTTCTTAGGGATTTGATAAACACATAGGTTCATATTTATCAGCTGAATTATATCAGACAAGCACTTGTTAAATACAAATTTAAATTAAAAGGTGTTTGTATGTTTTTTATTATTCTTTTTTTAATGCTAAGGAAATTATTAGGAGAAATTCAACTTTGAGTTCATTGGAAGAAAATGGGATGTGGTAGAATATTTTATCAGTCTGTAGCAGAGAAATAAATTTTAATGCAAATCTGCTAGAATTTATCCAAATAATTTAAGAAAATAAGGTTAACAGAAATTTGAAAACATTAACAGTCATGTTATATGTGTAAAACTGATCATCATCTGATTTTAAATCATTTTTGCAATATGTTTTTCCAAACACTAAAATTATATGGAATGTTTTACCGTCATTCCTGTTTTGTAATAATATATATGACATTTTCTGTGTTACTTTTTATCACTTCCTCTCATTTAAAAAAGAAGTCTCTTCGGGATAACCTTTACTTTTAAGTAACTTTTTTAGAGTGAGATAAAAGCACAAAGCTAGCCAAGTTTTTGTCTTTCTTTTTCAAGAATAAATTAAAATTAATCTTTTCTAATACTCAGTGCCTCAAAAGTTATGTGTACCAAATGTGTCATTGACATGATATGTAAACAACCTTCTTTCAAATTATCATTGCTATACTACTATATTTCCAGATAAAATTTTACGAAAATCAGGGATAATGCTATTTCCAAATAAGATTATTTTTCATTTTGTAGAAGACGTTTACAAGAACATCATAAATAAATACAACAAATGTTTTTGTTGTGCATGTCAGCTTTTTTCAGAATCTGCCTGCATTTTGGGGCATAAATTCTGTGTATAAGTTATTTTTTGCCTTAATTGCAAATTTGGCATTCAAAAGTTCAGTGGTCTTCCTAGAAAATCAATTCATTTTCTTCTTCTAATGAGTCCCATGACTGACTGTATTTGGTTAAAAATGAAAACAAACAAATATAACAGGTGAGACTTGAGTGAACAAGTTTAAGAACAGGTAATGAAAATACCAGTAGATTTTTATTTAGATGTATGTTGCTTGGTAATTTTAACTGATCAACTTAACAGCATATTCATGTTAAATAAAATTATGTGATCTAAAAATATTCTCCTAGTTGTTATGTAAGTTCCCCCTAGAAACTGTATTATCACTTTTTCATTTTAATAAGCTGATGCAAGAGCTATACTTTAAATGGTCTCATGTCATAGTTATATATCAAGCTTACCTACACTGAATTAATCAGAAATAATTTAAACATTTAGAAATTACGGGAATGATTTTTAATTTTTGGTAAGTAAAACTACATGCAGGATTTAAATGATCGTGTGACTAGTGAGAATATTAATTTTCTTGATTATTTCCCTCATAGTTCTAATTTTTGGAGGCATGTAGAAAAGTCAGGACACATAGTAGGTGCTTAGTAAATATTAATTGACCAGATTCTGTTTAGAAAAGCAAAATTAAGGCAGTCGTTGAGGTAATAACGTTGGTAATTTTGGTGTGAAAATAATAATCCATCTGAAGGAAAATGCTAACTTTGGCAGATACCAGGGAACACTGGGGGGTAGGGGTGTGATTTGAGACATTCCTGTTTGGTTGACTGTGTTAATCAAATTTTATGCTACCCTTTTGTTCTACCAGTAAAGATATGGTCGAACTGATACGTCATTAGGCTCAAGTTTGGGCCATAACTAGGATGACTACTTAAAATGACCATAGCTCTGTTTCCCCATTAAATAAAATAATTTATGAAATTACTTAAAGGCTCAAATATTCTAACTTATCTATTTGTTCCGTTTTTGTCGTTCAAGGAACAAATTGCATAATATTTATTTTCTGTGATTGTGCAAATTGTGAGATAAGCTAGACACATATTAAGTGCCTGAAGTACCCCTTCAGGTGTATTTCAGAGGGACTGCTACCCTAAATCATAATAGCTCCTTTAGTATAGAGCCCAAAAGTACAGTTGAGTGGTGTAGCTCATGAAGCTGAAAGACAAATGAAGCTTTCTGTAAACTAGGAGTCCAGCAATTATTGCATTAAAGCTCTTAAATTTATAAGTCCAGAATCTTCCTTCCCAAGCTTAGGCTATGGAGATATAATAAATCTCACAACCACGTAAGACACATACATTCTTGCCCTTTTTGTATAGAAAGGAAAATGAGAGCTGAATCAGTGTGCTTCATTTAGGACCTCATGTAAATGGCTGTTCCTCTTAACCACGTATAGTTTCCTCAGAAGTTAAGATAAAGATGAACCACTCTTGTATAAACCACTCATATTATTATGCCACTAATAAAAATATGTGCGTATATATTTATAAATTTGATGTGTGCTTACCACAGTGAAAATATTTAACATATATTCATAGTGTAAAAATATGTAGAATAGCATAAGTATAGCTATTATAGATTTTAAAAAATTCTGTGAACTATATTTTATATGTATCTATACTGGTATATGCATAGCAAACTGAATTTTCTACTTAAAATAATTTGCCCTAAGATTAAACTACTTTTTAAAAATTTAGAATAATTTTGTAATTCATCAGTTTGCTTTTAGAATGAAATTCCAAGATGGAAAAAATAATTTCTCATAACTTAAATTTTACTTCAGTTTTGACCTGAAATGGTACATCAGACATATTTCCAAATGATTTCTGTCCGTTTCTAAATGTCTATGAAGCATTGAAGATTCAACATCACTTAAGTAATGCAGAAAACAAAATCTGTTTGTCCTGAAGGCAATTTGTTGAAGGAATTTAAGACATATGCTGAGAAGACAGGATAGGGTGTTAAGGTTGTTGAAAGTACAAAATTTACCATGGTTACAATGTAGAAGGGAACCTCATTTGATGGTGCAAAGTATTGTTAAAAATCAGTTGTACGTTCTAGAAACAGTATGTCTAGTAACATATGTACAGTTTTTCAGTGTCACATACAAGTTTTATGATCAATTGGAAGATACTTTTTATTTTCACTGTATTTTATCAAATGTGAAGAGTTGTATGCAGAATTTTAAAACAGTTAATATTAACCATATCATTAATTTTACAGCAATAATTTGTATATTAAGAGTTTATTGACCGTAAGAGATTCTTACTAATTTATTTGGAATTTTTAACCAAAGAAATGAGTTGGCCAAATTCCTTGCCTGCTTTAAAACTATACATGGACGTTTTCCTTATGGATGTTCCAGTTCTTTTGGTCAGAGTAGAAGTGATCTTTCACGATCATAGACTAAAAAGAGAAGCTACTAAAAGGAGAGTGTTAACTAAAAAAAAAAATCACGTTTCTGGCATTTTGGCATGAAATTTTGGTATAATTTTTAACTGATTTATCTCTATCTTAGCTGTATTTTTTGTTTGAACTAACATTAAAATTAATTTACTGTTCTTATGTCAGCATTAATTGGTTGGATAAATGTGACAGAATATTGGATGGTGCAAAGTACCTCTTTTTACTAGAGACATTTTTGGATAGCTGTAATTTTCATGCAGCTTACCGTCAATATGTAAGCTTTGGATCATAACCCTGGTCTCAGGAAACTGTTAACTTAATGAGGGCAAGTGAGAGGCTAGACCAGGTATCTAGTGATGTATTTATATATTCATGTAGCTGTGCATATTGAAAAGGGAGTTTCCAAATTCTTTATTTTACTTTTTAAGAAAGATGTGATATAACTTTAAGGTTTATTTTTACATTTCTTAATTTAAATACAAAATGTTATAAATAATTTAGAAATTTAGAAAAATTTAGCCATTAAATATAGTAAGTAATCTTTCTAATGCTTTAATAATATTGCTAACTAATAATGGTTTTCTAAGATTTTAATTTGAACAGTCTTTAAACTGATGCCTTTCATGACCAAGGCCTTTCAGTGTATTATTGAGATTGTGGAGTTTTAGGACAACCTAGGGCTAAAATAATATACATATGATTATACCTAAACATATGTCTGTTTTTATCTATTTAGGATTAGACGTAATCCTTTTTGTAAAACAGTGTTCTCGCATGAGTACATACAGTCTCATCAATCAGGCATAACACAAAAAAGCCTAGTTTAGATAAACTGGTTTTCCATATTAATACTGAAATTACCAAAAGATGACCATATCAAAACATTTATTTGAAAACATATGTAGGCGTAGCTCAGGTTCTCGTTCTTTAGTCTCTAAGATCCTTTCACCATAATTTCTAGAGGAGATACTATAATTATGTAATAGGGTTAGTTAAATTGTGATTCATTTTCAATTTCTATTTGTAGTTTTCTGTGTGTTAATTAAGAGTCTAAGGACAGTCACATCAAGGACATGTTTAAATAAAAGTAGTAATTATTAGTATATTAGACTAAAGAACATCTCAAAACTATCATTCCCTGAGTGCTAGATTATAGTGTTTAAGGTGATACCTGATAATAAGTATGCTAACTGTTGTAATTAAATGGCACAGAATGATAACACTGACGAGAGCTCTTCTTATCCATAACATTAACCAAGTAACTATCTTTTTTTCTTGTATTTTGGTTCATAGCTCATTAGATAATTTCACATGAATTATGTTATTTGAGGTGGGCAACCAGATTTTGTCAGATGGGTGAGGGTAGGGATTATGGTCAGTCTGGCTCATCTCAAAGCTAAAACTCTCATGATCACTGGAAAAACTTTCAGTAGCAGCAAGTCTTCTAATCATATATTTTAATGGCAAGACATATTGCAAATAGTCTGTATACAAATGTGGCATGGAGACTGTACCACTTGTAGTAGCCCAGCCCCTTCATCATGAATGAGTAGCCTTCCACAGTTGCATATATTTCCTCTTCTCTTATTCCTTCCTCAGTACTGGGCAGTTTGATTTATATTTCTTCTTTCTCCACATGACACTTAGTATAATGCTCTACACAGAGTTCACATTCAATAAATGTTTTTAATTGACAGGCACATTTTTCTTCGTTTAAGTCTAATCTCCAAAAGGAAGAGCCTCTGTGGGTGTGTGTGAGCACGGCGTGCATGCACGGGTGAACTCGCATGCGCAGACATGTGCGTGTGTGTGTCCATGTGTGTGAAAGAAAGAGACTGTTGTTGTCACTGTTGTTGTGGGAAATGAGTGGCCAAAACAAATATGAGTAAAAATCTGACTTTTTTTAATTTTATGATGTTTGAAAATAAAAACGCAAAAGGGCTATATTAGTAAAATTTATATTGCCCTCACTAGGGGTATTACTTTTATATATACTATTAATTTTTAAAAGCTATTACTTTAAGTCAGTGTGGTCACAGAAACCTCTAAAATTTAGCCTCAGAACTTGTCTTCACAGGTTTTGAATATCTCTATATTACATTTTAGACTATTACATTGAATGCTAAATGGACTTGTAATAACCCTCACTTAAAGTTCAGCAAAAATAGGAGACTGTTTATTAGCAGCTTTATTTTAAGTTTCTATTCCAAATATTCTTTTAATTCAAGAGCTCTGGAAACACTTGTTTTGTGTTATTCTACCCTGGCTTCATGGCTAATGATGAATATACTTGATGAGGAATACTTCACTTTAAGTGGCAGTTCTGAAGTACTTGCATGGAAGGTGGTGCACATTTAACATTATTCTAACAGTCTGTTATGCACTGTACACAAGTAATAAAATTAATGGATACACTTCAAGTAATGATCCATTTCCTCTGGGTGCAATATATTTATTCACAGACTATTTCAGGGGTTGTTTAGAATATGAGATGTGAATGGATTATGATCCATTATCCCTGAGATTCTAATGTGCTACAACAAAATGGTTTCCATAAGTATTGCTCATAATGCCTGGTGTGTTAGTATTTGTATTCTTAAATAGCTAACACAAAATTAGAAAACAGATGCTCAGATGATTGATACTTAAAACTTTTCAGATATTTACACTTACAAACTCTTAGAAAAGTTAAAATTTTCCATTGAGTCAAGGAGCATAATTCTATGGAATACATATAAAACAATTATATATAATAATAAAATCCATATGCAAATATTTACTTGGATAACGCTTTGAACCCTTTTTCATTCTAGAAAGGTTTTAATGGACTTTCTTAGAAAATCAACAGTAGTTCTGGCATTTAGATGGTCAATTAATTCATAAAGTTGAAGTAATAGCATTTCTCATTTTAATTGAAGAGAGGTACATTAAGTAATGTGACAGTGTCGGTTATTAACGTGACAGTGTCAGTAAGTAACGTGACCATCCTCTCCATCCCCTGCCCAAGTATTTTAAAGCAAATTTGATACAAGAGAGATTGTGTGCTTGTTTGTGTATGGCTTTTGGCTTCAGTGTACATTGGTCTCATAATTTTTATATTCATATAGAGTACACTATTGATTTGGTATTGAATGAGTTCATGAGTACAGTGTAGTTATACTCTTTCTACTCCAAGCTGAGAATTCTATTAGATACTGCCAGTGGAGACATTTCCTATAGGAGTTTATAGTTTAGAAGGACAGTTTATGCCCTTGTTGAGCAGGCAGCATATTCACAATGAATTAATACAATGTTTGCATACAAATCCTTCATAGCAAGACTTCTGATTTTCTGTGCCCAACATTATGTCTTTTCTAGTAACATCTAGAAATTTCCACGTTTTTTTTGAAATGTTTTCGTTTCTTTATAACTTCAATCTCACATGATTATAAATGTGGCAGAATATTCCAGGATTCCCAAATAAACTCTTTTTATTTTTATTTTAGTTGGTGACAGGCTCTTGCTCTGTTGCCCAGGCTAGAATACAGTGATGCAATCATAGCTCAGTGCAGCCTCGAACTCCTGGTCTCAAAGGATCCCTGGTTATTGATAAAACTTCTTTAAAAAATGTATAAATACACCTTCTATATCCCATATTAGTCATATATTATATAAAATTAGGACTAATTTTAAAATAGTATTATTAACTTTTTATACATGTCCTGTTTCAGTCATTAAGAAGACTTCCTCTCCCCCTAATTTTCACACAAGAGAGCTGGTCCCTTGTTTTCTGAATATTCTTTTTCATTTCCTCTATATGGCATTGTCTAATATGTCTTTGTTGCCTAGTATGTGTCAGCATTTGTTATAAGTAAGTTATATATGTTAACTCAGAACTTTGGTAAGTATCCTATGAGGTCGATTCTATTTTTAATCCTCATTTCATGGATGAGAAAAACAAGATCCAGTGAAATTAAGTAACTGAACCCATTTCACACATCTAGTAAGGGGCATCAAATTTGAACTCCGGTCTCTTTAACGCCAGAATTCTCACCGGTCATTTCTCTGCCTTTCTGCCTGCCTCCCCCTTTTTGCTATTATAGATGTCGTTCTTTTACCTATCACTGCATTTTCATTGCCTGCATTCAGTTATAAAGATCAATATGCAAATAAATAGAGCGTATTATAAATTTCAGTGTTATGAATTTGTACAAAGCTGACTTTTCTTCACCATTTAAATTTCTTTTACAGTGATATATTGCAACATTTTTTGGGGGGCAAAACATAGAGTTTTGTGTAATGATCAACAATGACTCATTAAAACCTGTCCCTAGATTTTAACGGATACTGCAGAGCCTATTGGTACTTCACTGTAGTTTTATCATTTAACAAAATTAACATATCCATATTGAAAATCAACTTATAGTTTCATTTTTTCATTTGCTACGATTTGTATGGTTGACCTTTCTCAGGGACACAAAGTGATTTCTCTCTGTGTTCCCGTCTCATTTAGACAAATGTTGAATAAGACTCAATCCAGCATCAGTCTATCGGTCCCTTTAATTTAGCATTTCTTTTTTGCCTGTTTAATACCTGGTTCATGTTGACGTTTCACCCTTCATGGACTTCTAACTGCTTGTTCAAGTTCAACATATGCTGAAAATATTTCTCCTAAATATCTGATCATTTAGATCCATGCCACATTTTTTGTTATTAACATAATTTAAAAATTCTGTCCAGTATATTTTCTAATTATCTTTTTATTTTCCAGAAATGTTAACGTTTTATCATAATACTTTTTTCAAACGGAGTGCTCATACGATTGAAGTTTCATATTCTTCTCTTACACTTTATACCAAATGTGGTCATTTTATAACAACAGTTACTTAATCGCATCGCTTAACAAATATTTTGGTACAATTTTTGATCACTCCTCAAAATCTAACGATCAAAAACAGCATGTCACAATTGCTTCCTTAAGCATTAGGAGGATATTAGAATATGTAGCTCCTGTAGGCCACGGACTTCTTTTATACTTAGATATATGGAGCCATGTATATATTCTTTTTACATTCTATTATTTCCATTGTATCTCATTAAAAATATATCAGGGAAGAAGGAGGGGAAAATAGTTGACGATAATATTTGCAAAGTTTGTCTCCTTCACCGCCATCCTGAGTAGCATTATGCTTTGAAATTAGTGAAGTTACAGTTGTGTTTCAAATGAATTGAGGGACATGGTTTGGCAGCATTAATATCATTATGACAAATAGAACATTAGACTATCAGGGCAGAGGGAAGTGAAAGAGGATAAAATAATATAGTTGTTGAATTCACATCTATATTTTTTTTAGTCTTTAAAAAGGATAAAGTGGGAGGCATGTGCAAGTTAGCAAAACCACAGGCCTTATGTTTCTAGAGACGTTCTTCAGACTTTTTAAGAACTTAGCTTCCCTTTAACTAAATTATATTACCAGAAAATTAAGTAAAATGAACATTTATAAAAGTAGATTATCTTAGGCAACCTACTCTTCTACCAAACTACTCTTCGAACTTTTAGGTATTTTAACCTAGAGAAAGAACCTTACAGTGAGTTTATGTTCTTTTGAGATCTCTGTAGGTACATGAGGGAACATAAAACATTTAAATATTCAGTATTTCCAAAGTATAAGAAAGTTATCAGTGCTAATGTAGCTATGTTTAAAAATGCATGATATCATATGTAATATATTTTCTCTTTTATATTCTGTCATTAAGAAAACTATATAAGCTAATAAATCTAAGAAAGTCTAAATTTTGTAAACTAACTTTAGAGAGTTTGAATATTTTAACCCATAGCACAGCGTGATGTTGCCATGCTTTCATGCTATGTATGGAATAATATGTACTTGGACTGGCGTTCGTCATATATGAAATGACATAGCATATTCCATGGTACATAGTAGGTACTCCAGAATGGTAATGGTGATAATGATATGCTTGTGTTTCCATTTTTCCCTTGATAAAGTTTTCTGGGTTTGGTATTACTACAGATGATTTTAAAACTTTGAGATCAACTTCTACATTTATAAATTTAAAAATGTTTCACATTAGAAAGATTATTTTTCCTAGTACTTGTTTTTCTTCCTCGCATCCATGGACAATATGAGACAGAGTCTCGCTCTGTCACCCAGGCTGGAGTGCAGTGGCGCGATCTCCGCTCACTGCAAGCTCCGCCTCCCGGGTTCACGCCATTCTCCTGCCTCAGCCTCCCGAGTAGCTGGAACCCCAGGCGCCCGCCACCACGCCCGGCTAATTTTTTGTATTTTTAGTAGAGACGGGGTTTCACCGTGTTAGCCAGGATGGTCTTGATCTCCCGATGCCGTGATCCCCCACCTCGGCCTCCCAAAGTGTTGGAATTATAGGCATGAGCCACCGTGCCCAGCCGACAATCTGTTTATTTCTAATCTTCTGTAAATGAAATAAAGAATAATCTTGGATTTTTTTTCCTCTTTTTAAAACTATGAAAATACTATTTAAACTAATTTCCAAGCCCATTTTTAAAATTAAAAATGTAAGTTAGTTTGGGGAAGTATATTTGAGTAATATGTATGATATGTAAAATGTATCTGAAAACATCCAAAATGTTACTTGTTCATGCAGCCTTCCAGCTCCCATCAGAGCTTTGAGCACTTTTGTTTTTATTTAAGTTTTTATTTAATATTTTATTTACATATATTCTAATTTTCTACATCTTATGTCTTATTACTTGATGGCATTGATATTCATTGTTGTGACGCAAGTCTGATAATTCACATTGAATAATCTGAAATCATATTTACACATTTATATCTTAGAAAATAATTGATCTGGTTTGAAATCATTCATGTGGTGAATACTTTTATAATTAGGATGTGTTGGCTTTCAGATCATTTCTTTCAGTCTGTGGGTTCAGGGGATATATTTAATTATTTTTTTCTTTCTAGAGGGTGTTAATGCAGATAGCATCAAACAAGCCTCAGAACAACTGAACAGCCGGTGGATCGAATTCTGCCAGTTGCTAAGTGAGAGACTTAACTGGCTGGAGTATCAGAACAACATCATCGCTTTCTATAATCAGCTACAACAATTGGAGCAGATGACAACTACTGCTGAAAACTGGTTGAAAATCCAACCCACCACCCCATCAGAGCCAACAGCAATTAAAAGTCAGTTAAAAATTTGTAAGGTAAGAATCTCTTCTCCTTCCATTTGGAGCATAATCAATAGGTATTTCTTGGCAATTTCCAAGAAGACAGTAACAAATTATTTAGTAATGAAACGTTCACCTTCTAAGGATTTAGCTAAGCGCAATAAAGTTCAAAATGTAAGCAACAGAAATCTGTTTAAATATGTAAGACGTAGATACCCGGATTCTAAAATTGTATTTGGCGTAGTTACACAGCGCTAATTGATTGTGTCGGTTTGCGTAAGCATGAGGCAGTTTAGGAGTGTGGAAACCACATGTATCCTGTAAAAAATGGCCTCTCACTTTGGAACTCTTTCTTTGTGACGAGTGAAACATAGTCATTTTGAAAAAGTGGAATCCATGGAAATAGTTAGAAACACGGGTCAACAACAAGCTTGGATGCAGTATAACTAGATACATAAGGAAAATATTTAAAACTGATGGACCTCTCAAATTACGATAATTTGAGGAAGGTTTCTTTACAAAAAGATATTTTTAAAATGTAGCTGGAGTACAGAGGAACCACACCGGATAGTGTAGTAACCCAGCATCAGAGTTCTTACCCCTTTTAGTCCAGAAAGGATCAGTGAGAGAGCAGTTATAGAAACTCAGAAGGAGACAGTCAGATCCTCATGGTAAAAGCAGCATGGCCGGCTTAAGGAATCCTCATAGAAATGGAGTCAGACAAATAAACACCCCACTTCACTTTTTTCCCTGCCTCCAGAATCTTGTCAGGGCTCCTCACTGACTAAACTTAATCGTAAGACAAAGGACAAGGAACCGTCATCTGTAAATATCAGTCTCCTGGGTAACAGGAGAAGAGCGGACAGTGGATCTGGAGGGGCAAACAAGATGTAAGTGGACAAAAGGGCCTGAGAAAGAGATGAAAGGATTATGCCTTCAAGTGTAAGAAAACAAGAGCTGTATAATAATGAAAATAGCCTAAACTGTTTTCATTGTTACTATGAGCTATGTGCTTTTCGCGGGGAATGAGAAACTGATTAGAGGATGGACTAAAACGTTTCCAGGATGAACGTTTAGTGATAGATCGAGATGATTACATTTAATACAAAAGGCAAGGAGTGGAGATTCATTTGCATACTGTAAAAAAGAATGGCTTAAATAAAGGTAGAATAGACATGGAAAGGTGACAAGGTTGATTTAGAAAAGGTATTGGACCCAAAAAGTGATGAGAAATTCAAAGCTATTTTGAAGAGAAAAACAATTGAAGGACTTAATGGTTCTTCAAATATCGGACCTGTAGCATTATTAGGTTTTCTGTTCTTGTGTTAGTTTGCTGAGGAAATAAACTCAGAAAGTATACTTTTGGATAAAGAATACCTTGGATAAGGCACTTGACTTGTTAGGCAAATACACACATCTAAGGAATTTCTACATTGAGATGCATTTTGTAATTTAAGAATAGAACCAATGCCGCTTTTCCTGTGAATCAGAGGAATAATCCAAATACATTATTTCTTGCCACAAAAATCTGATGTTACCTTATCCGATTCTTGAGATTCAGATATAGTAGTTAGTAATAGTACCTACACAGTACATTCATGCATAAAATATATACATTAAGTGTCTCTAATGTGTTTAAGAATGCTACTGAGTGTATTAATCAGCTGAGTCTGCCACAATAAATACCACAGACTCGGTGGCTTAAACAACACAGGTTTATTTTCTGAGAGTTCTAGAAGTGAGAGAAAGTCCAGGATCAAGGTTTGGTAGGGTTCAGCTTCATCTTCTGGTGAAGGCTGTCTTCCTGGCTTGCAGATAACCAACTTCTCACTCTGTCCTCACATGGCTTTCCTCTGTGTGTATACATGCAGAGAGAGAGAATGAGGGCTATTTTTCTTTCTCTCTCTCTTTATCTCTGCCTCCTTTTATAAAGCCACCAATCCCTAAGGGATTAGCCCCCCACCCCGCCACCCTTACCCAACCCTGATGACGTCATATAAACATCATTACCTCTTAAAAGTCCTATCACCAAATAGTCTCACCAATGGTTAGGACTTCAACATGTGAATTTTGGAAGACACAATTCAGCCCATAGCACTAAGTTTTGGGAATATTAGAGTGGGCATTCATGGACTCTGCTTTTATTGTATTTACGGAAAGCAGAGAAGAGAGATATGAAACAATGGAATCAATATTTTTAAATTTCCTGCTAGGAACAGTGGTTTAAACTAAGATGCAAAGCTTTGGGAGAATGAGTAACAGGGAAAAACGAACCTGATACAGCCACCAAGGGCATCTTCCTTGAGGGAGGAACATTTGAGTTGAGACTTTTGTGATAAGTTAGAATTAGGTAAGAGAACAGTTAAGCAAGATTCCAGGCAGAAGGAACATGGCAAGAGGGAGCAATAAAGGCCAAGCACCTGAATGAAGACCATTGTAAATGCTGAACATAGAGGGGCAGATGAATGAGAGGAGAGACAAACAGGAATCAGTCAGGTATATAGGAGACAAACCAATGACTTCTGGGACCTGCTAGTATCTTGGTCTTGATTTGAGGAACAAATGGAGATCACCAGAGGTTTTATATATTAAATATTGTCTGGAGGTTGAGGAAGTCATCCTAAGGGAAAATACTTCTCTTACTGCATCCAAATTCCGTTGTCACCTCCTTATCACCCCTTACTCTTTCTCTCAGACCCATTGGTGTCTATTAATTTGAAGAATCACTTTAGGTAAAATATTTAGCAAGATAAGCTTAATATTATTCATACAAGGGCAAATATATATACTGTTCTGCTGAGATTAGTGATAGGTAAATAAATTATAACATGTTTCTCAGCGTTTTATTTTATTTGGAGAAGTTTTATAACATTAGAGCGCATATTTAGCTCATATTCTAATGATCGGCAGAACTGGTTTTTAATATTGTGGGGGTTAGAGAGCCTTATCAGAATTGGAAAAAATTCATGAACCCTTTCCTGTGAAAAATACAAAAGCTTCCATGAGATAAGCATATAATTTTAAAGAATAAACAGACTCAAAGGAGATACCATACTCTGGAGGACCAACTAAACCAAATCCTTTTATGGAAATAATGGCTAATTGTTCACATCTTTTTAAACACAGAATACTTCAGTTGAAAAGTATCTCTTCTATGATTTATTCTCAGAACATTAAGGTCTCAACTGAACATTTGCCCAAATGTTTTATTAGTTTCAAAGTCCCCTTTGTTTTTCAGAGCACACTTGGCTATAATGTTGGCTCTTTCTATAGCCCCCTGAACGGGAAAAATGGCAGCCCTCCATCTGGCCAAATATAAATCAGGTTCTTAATGGTTCACAGTAGATGCCAATGCTGCCATTTGTAAATCTAGCATACAAATTATTTGTATATATTTCTGTACTATAAATACAGAATATTACCCTTTACCTCTTGTCTTATTTCTTATCCATGGATATATACCAACTTTCTAGCACTGGTTTGAGAGGATTTATATTTGAAAGAGAAATATAGGTCACCTTCCATTTTGCTAAACGTCTTTAATCTTCACCCACCAAAACGATTGAATCGTCAGAGATTATTTTACCTGAATCAGCTCATACCATTATAACCACATAAACACATTCCTCTGAAAGCTGTATTTATGTTTTTTTAATGAGAATAAGTGGCATTGTACATTAGTCTTGCAACCATGACAGAATTTATGTGATAAATTTCTCAGCCTCTCCTAATACAAAAGTTACTCTCTCCCAAAGAGTATGAATGCCTCCATAAATATTAACTTTTTTTTTGCCTTTTCACTTTGATTTTCAGGAAGCTCAGATTTCAATTCGTTCAGAATTGGTATAATTCTTTCCATTTTCTCTTTCTTCTAATGGGCTCATGTTCCAATTTTTAAATTTCAATTTTCCTGTTGTTACATATTAAATAGTAACTAACCCTCAAGTATTTTTTTCTAAAGACAGCATATATATGAATTGTAAGTAAGCAGCCATGATAATAACACTTTTAAAAAGGGCAGTGAAAACTTTGAGTTCAAATTATATATGTATTAAATACGAAACAATTCCAACTTCACTGGAAACAAGAACATGAAAACATTTATGTAGAGAATAGCATGCCCTTCGCCCACTTTTTGATGGGGTTGTTTGTTTTTTTCTTGTAAATTTTTTTGAGTTCGTTGTAGATTCTGGATATTAGCCCTTTGTCAGATGAGTAGGTTGCAAAAATTTTCTCCCATTTTGTAGGTTGCCTGTTCACTCTGATGGTAGTTTCTTTTGCTGTGCAGAAGCTCTTTAGTTTAATTAGATCCCATTTGTCAATTTGTCTTTTGTTGCCATTGCTTTTGGTGTTTTGGACATGAAGTCCTTGCCCATGCCTATGCCCTGAATGGTATTGCCTAGGTTTTCTTCTAGGGTTTTTATGGTTTTAGGTCTAACGTTTAAATCTTTAATCCATCTTGAATTGATTTTTGTATAAGTTGTAAGGAAGGGATCCAGTTTCAGCTTTCTACATATGGCTAGCCAGTTTTCCCAGCACCATTTATTAAATAGGGAATCCTTTCCCCATTGCTTGTTTTTGTCAGGTTTGTCAAAGATCAGATAGTTGTAGGTATGCGGCGTTATTTCTGAGGGCTCTGTTCTGTTCCATTGATCTATATCTCTGTTTTGGTACCAGTACCATGCTGTTTTGGTTACTGTAGCCTTGTAGTATAGTTTGAAGTCAGGTAGTGTGATGCCTCCAGCTTTGTCCTGTTGGCTTAGGATTGACTTGGCGATGCGGGCTCTTTTTTGGTTCCATATGAACTTTAAAGTAGTTTTTTCCAATTCTGTGAAGAAAGTCATTGTCCAAAAGAAATACAGTGCTAGCCACAAATTCAAGCCACATATGTAATTTAAAATGGTCTAGAAACTATATTAGGAAAGGAAAAAGAAACGGTAATTGAATTTCAATAGTACATTTTATTTAACCTGATTCATCAAAAATATTATTTGAAAGTGTAATCAGTATTTAAAAACTTTGAGATTATGTTCTTAGCTTTTCTTAATCTTCAGAATTAAACATATTTTGGTAATTTCATGCATCTAAATTTGGACCAGCCACATTTCAGGTGCCCAGTTGCCACATGAGCTAGTGACAGTACAGCAGTGTTCATGTGATTTTATCATACAAACCAGGGTACTACTGAGAGTGAAACAGGGTGCTACTAATAATTATGCCAGGACAACAAGAGGAAACCTGGACAGCCACCGTAATTTAAAAAGTGGCAATTGGCTGGGCGCGGTGGCTCACACCTGTAATCCCAGCACTTTGGGAGGCCAAGGTGGGTGGATCATGAGGTCAGCAGTTTGAGACCAGCCTGGCCAACAGTGAAACTCCATCTCTACTAAAAATAAAAAAAATTTGCTGGACACGGTAGCGGGCACCTGTAATCCCAGCTACTCAGGAGGCTGAGGCAGAAGAATCGCTTGAACCTGGAATGTGAAGGTTGCATTTGGCCAAGATCGCGTCATTGCACTCCAGCCTGGGCAACAAGAGCGAGACTCTGTCCCAAAAAAAAAAAAAAAAAAAAAAAAAAGCAGTGGTTGCCTGTTTGGTCAGGAGAAGTAATGAGACCATACAAAACATAGAAGATTATAGATATATTTTTATATTTGGGTGTGTACATACATATGTATAAGTATTATATAGATTTTATATGTGTGTATATAATCTATATAATTGTATCAAAATATATTTATAATTATAGTATACACATATACATATATGTAGGTATATATGTAATTTATATTTTGCAGAAATGAAAGAGAAAATATTGTTCATTGAGTGAGCTTAAAATTTGAAGCAAGCGCACATCATTTTGATATAAGAGGGGTGCAGCCAAACACCTATATTTGATTTATGGAAAGGATTTAAGGTCATGCATAGTATTTTTCCACTGTACGCATTCATACCCATTAATGCTCTAAATTATGTCATCTTGAAATTTAAATATCATTATATAGGATGATACATATTGAACAAAGAGCCAAGGTATCCTTAAATGTATGGCTGGTGATAGAGGCTTGTCTATACTGTCATGGATGTTTCTTATCAGATATTTGTGAAGGGTATTAAGCTAAACTTGCCTTACTGCTTTTTAATACCTTCTTTTGCAAAATGTAATGTATGCAAAGTAAACGTGTTACTTACTTTCCATACTCTATGGCACAGGATGAAGTCAACCGGCTATCAGATCTTCAACCTCAAATTGAACGATTAAAAATTCAAAGCATAGCCCTGAAAGAGAAAGGACAAGGACCCATGTTCCTGGATGCAGACTTTGTGGCCTTTACAAATCATTTTAAGCAAGTCTTTTCTGATGTGCAGGCCAGAGAGAAAGAGCTACAGACAAGTAAGTAAAAAGCCTAAAATGGCTAACTTGACATTTTCCAAAATGGTTATTTGTGGGGAAATCCAGAAGGTACTAACATGAAACAATAATTTCTGTAAATGGAACCATTCTCCCTACAACCTGTATTAACAAGGAACGAAATACTGGTGTAACAGATAAGCTGTCTGTAGATTTTTTTGTCCTCATAATAATTTTGTGACTTTGAGAAACAAAACATGTTTTGTATGGGAATAGCTTCTCCTTGGGGGATTGTAGATTTCAAAATCAGATGTTTTGAATATAGAAGAAAATAAAAGAGCAGTTGAGGTCATATGAATACACTTCAATTAAGTCTGGCTCGCTGTATATACAAGGATATTTGCTAGGCATCTTCTAATATTTCTGTCAATTTATCTGAAGAGTATTATAGCTTTAGCATACATGTGGCAACTGAAACTCAGCAAAGGACAAATTATTCTTTGGGCTACATTTTACTACTGGATCACTATAATTACATAAATCCTATTTTTTCCTTTGATGATAAAAGATAAAAGTGGAGCAATTATGCAAATTCATGCCATGCGACTAGCAAATTTTTCAAGATGTTTCTTTTGTCTCTTCCTGAATTGCTTTAATAAGATGATGTTAATACATAGTATCTGCTCCAAAATATCTCTACTCATCAACTTAGTTTTAAGACAAAAATTCTTTTCAGAGACAGATGAATGACCACCTTTAAGAAATAGTAAATGGGGTTTTGATTCACTATATACATGCATATATGTGTTCATGTGCACACAAAAGGAATTATTGAGTAAAATCGGGTTTGAAGGCATTAAGATAAAAGTATTTTTCTGAAAAAATCTCTGTCCCAAATTTGTCATGAGAAGCACAGGAACATGTGTTTGTTTACTACTAAAACTTAAATTAGTTGGAAAATATATTATCCTATTGCTTTTCTTTGTAAATATTTAAAGAATTCACCATATAATATCATTTCCAGAATTAATGTAGTGATACACAACGCTTTTCTCATTTCCCAGCTTTTCATTTTTTACAAAAATGAAATGAGCTAAATAAAGCAAAGGATAAATACTTTTTTTTTTTTTTTTTTTTTTTGTACTTCAGAGTCGTTTTTGCTAAGGGGTTTATTTTCCTGTACAGGTAGTAAAACTTTATAAATAGTATCAGCTCCCTCTAGTGGATTTCAGTATACTTGTTACTGTGCCTCTGCAAAATCAATTTGGGAAAATATTTTAAATGTCCTAGATTTTCAAATATTGACATATTTAACAATAATGTATTTTCACTTGTCATTACATACATAACTCCCCCTTAAAGTTAAATACATTTAGTGGCTATGCAGCAATTGTTGTGCAAAGGAGCCATTTCACTGGAAATTTACTTTAATCTGTATATACCTCTTAATCATATTAAAGTTCAACTTTTTATCATTTACTTTAAAGATGTTCAGAATAGCAATGTTTGATAACTGAGATTTGTCTATGATGTTACAATATAAATACGTAATAATATATAGTCTCTATTCATACAGCTCTCCATCCATCCATCCATCCCTATCATCTTTCTTCTCTTTTTTAAATTTCATACCTACAAACGATGATTGTTTATAAAACTTCCTAACTTTTTCACTGCTATTATATGTAAACAAATTGTCCCCACTTCCACTGTAGCTACACATCTTTAATTTTACTATTCACCCTTTTGGAATGCTTGTCTAGATTAATAAATAACCCTTTAATTAAATATGGTGTATATATATATATATATATGGAATGAAAAATGTAGCATATGAAATTACATAGCAGTTGATTTTGTTAATTTGAAATTAATTCAAATAATTGCACATGTGTATGCATTATATCCGAACTGGCACCAGGGAGTAAATCTCATTTCTTGTATTCCTCCACAGTACTTTGGACGTATTAAGTATGCAGGAAATAAGAGCTAACAGAAGTGCCTAGGCATCCATACTGACTTTTATTTCCTCTTTACTTTTTTAAACTTGCTTTTTCACACAAAAACCTGGCTTTTAAAATATACTATCAGTGTTGGAAAATGGCATAAGGAATTGGTAGTTGTTACCTGACATAAGTGATAGAAGAAAATAATATAAAAAGATAAAATTCTATTTTCAAAGCACTTTTTACTCTATGCATAACTAATTTATACATCATTTTACCTAACCCTCAGAGAGAAACACATTGAGTATTTGTTATTACAACTATATCACAAGTAAGCTAATGGGGTTTGAATAACTAAAAGCATGGATATGGGATGCTGTAAGAACTAGATCGTATACACGAATGTCCATAACAACATTATTCATAATAGCCAAAACGTAGAAGAAACCCACATGTCCATCCAGTGATGACTATATGAAGAAAATGGGCACATCCATACAAGGCAGTGTTACTGAGCAATAAAAAGGGAGAAAGTACTGATACATGCTACAGCATGGAGTACCCTTGAAGACATTATGCTGAGTGAAAGAAGCCAGTCACAAAAGATCATATGTTATATGAGTCTCTTGATATAAAATGGCCACAATAGGCAAATCTGTACAGGCAGAAATAAGATTAGTGGTTGCCTAGGTCTGGGAGGATGAGGGGGTGGAATTGTTTCCCATGACAGTTGATAAAATACTTTTCTAGAGACTGAAAACCAGTAAACTCATGTTATATGCTAGATGAATATAGAAACACAGCATCTAGTCTGTTGTAGATAATTGTTTCAACAAAGAAAAAAATGAAACCTTATTTCTTAATGTAAAGAAGGAAAAAGATTGGTCATATAATTTGAGTTTATTTCATTAACAATTTGGAAATCATGTTAAAATAATTATTAGGGATTTTATTGGTTTGGTTTAGTTTTGCAAAAATGGAGAAAGTGACATTATTAGTTATGACAAAGCCAGTGTTTTGACTGTTCTAAAGTTTCAAAATGATTCTCTTCTGTTCTACACCATTAGATTGCTTTCAGAACAGAGTCTTGCTCACTTTTTCACTAATAAATTCAAGAAATATTTTTGAACACCTGGTATATGCCGTAAAAGTGCTGGGCACTAGGTAATATACATGGTGGAGAAAATCAAGAGCAATATGTCTTCATGGAGCTTATTGAAAGAAAGATAATAAAATTGAATATCTGAATATTATTGCAGATTATAATTACTTTGGCGTCTGAAACCGTGATTCTGGGGAGATGATGTTAGAACCAAACCTGGAGAATGTGCAGGTGCCAGCTATATGATAAGTTGGAGAAAGGACATTAGGAGAAATGAAAAGAAACACAAATTGCCAAAGGTGAAGAATGAGGGCTTGGCATGTCCAGAAGACATAAGGGAGGCCAGAAAGGCTGGAATGTAACAAATCAATGAAAGATTAGGACAAGATGAGGGTAGAATTGCTCTTATAGAACTTCTATAACAGGTTTGGATTTTAAGAGCAGTAGACATTTCCGAAAGAATTTCAATTGAGGAAATTAAGTACCCTTAGTTGTATTTTTTCAAAACTCACCCTCTAGCTGGTATGTGAAGAAGAAATGCAATACAAGTCTGAGGAGAAGCAGGAAGACTTGTGGAAAGAATAGCCACACAGAGGAGAGTCCATTGAACCTTAAACTACAGTTGTGATAAGATAAAGAAAAATCATTTCAACCCTTGAAGAGGTGATGATCTGGGGAGGTGTAGCACAGAAGATATTCTTGCCAGAATTGAAAGAAAATAACTTTTACCTCTTACAGAGACAGTAGAAGAAAATTTTAAGGGTAGCCAGCAAGGATGCTCTCCATGGCCACAATTTCAAGCTCTATGGTTAGTCTCTACCCCTCCCTGTTAGGATGCTGAGACTGGGAATTAAAACAAAGTTTGATGTGAGGTAACTCTTCTAGCTGCAGTTCAGGAAATTGACCTAATTTACTTTATTAAAATTTTAAATTTTTTATTTTAAAATTTTATTTTTAATACATCTAGGCAAAGGAATGTTTTGTTCCAGTAGACACATAATCTGTTGCATTGCTCCTTCACTCCAGAAACTAGGTAAACTGTTTGTAAATGTTCCTTTTAAAAATTGTGTTATTTTTATCAATACCATCAAGAGCAAGCATAGCAGACATGTTTATTTAAGCAAGCTATGTGCTTATTGTGAGATAAAAGAATTGTTCCCTGACCTCAAGAATCATGGGAAAACTCGCTAAATGCCAAGTTAAAGCTATACATATATATATACACACGCTGTGTGTACATATACGTATATGTACACAAGTTGTGTGTGCATATACGTATGTACATATATACACATACTGTGTATGTACACACACAGACACATACTGTGTAAATACTCACGTAGGCAAATATTGTGTATATACACACGTAGACACATACTGTGTATATACACACGTAGACACATTCTGTGTATATAAACACGTAGACACATACTGTGTATGTACACACGTAGACACATACTGTGTATGTACACACATAGACACATACTGTGTATATACACATGTAGACATATACACACACACACACACACACACACACATTTATAAAATTTATGTGACAGGAACCTCATACTATTTTCCAAAATGGCTGTACTAATTTACATTCCCACCAACAATGTGTAAGTGTACTTTTCTCCACAGCCTCTCCAACATTTATCTTTCATCATTTTGAAAGTAGCCGTTCTAATTTTAACATGTGTAAGGTGACACATCATTGTGGTTTTCACATTTTTCTGATGTTTAGAGATGTTGAGCATTTTTTCACATATCTGTTGGCCATTGGTGCCTCTTATTGCGAGAAATGTCTGTTCATATCCCTTGCCCATTTTTAAATCAGGTTATTTGTTTTCTTGCTGTTGAGTTTTTTGAGGTTTCTATATATTTTGGATATTAACTCCTTACCAGATATTTGGTTTGCAAATATTTTCTCTTGATCTGTGAGCTGCCTCTTCACTCTGTTAATAGTTTCCTTTCCTGTGCAGGAGCTTTTTAGTTTGATGCAATCTAATTTGTCTATTTTTGCTTTTGTTGCCCATGCCATATCCATTTGAGCATTATTCATAACAGCCAAGATACGGAAACAACCTAAATGTCTATTACAGGACGAATGGATAAAGAAAATGTGATATATATAGTGATATATGCATAGTGGTAGATATATATAGTGATTTATATATACTGATATATAGAGATATATATACTGATATATATAGTGACATATATATATAGTGATAAATATATTCCAGTGTCTATATATGATATATATATGCAATGGAATACTATACAGTCTTTAAAAGGAAGGAATTTCTGTCATTTGCCACCATGTAGATAGAACTGGCGGACATTAGGCTAGCTGAAATGAGCCAGGCAAAGAAAGACAAATACTGTATGATCTCACTTATATGAGAAATCCAAAAAAAAGTCAAATTATAGAAACAGAAAATAGAAAGGTAGTTACCAGAGACTGGGGGGAAGAGGAAGGTTGGGAAAGGGAAGGTGTTGATCAAATGATAGAAAGTTTCAGTTAGACTGGAGGAATAAATTGTAGCGATCTCTAGTACTGCGTGGTGGACACAGTTAATAAAAATCTATGTTTCAAAATTGGTAAAAGAATAGATTTTAATATCCGCATCACAAAAAAAGATAAGTTGGTGAGGTGATTAATATGTTAATTAACCTGAGTGAATATTTTACAATGCATACATAGATCAAAACATCACATGATACCCCATAAATACACATAATTATTATTTGTTAGTTAAATATGAAATAGTTTAACATGATATTTTGAAAATAGGATTGCTAAGTGGATAGAGCTGCTTTTAGAAAAAGGGAAAATTCAGCAAAAGAAAAAAACTCTTAAATTCTAATAAATATTTCTGTAGTGTGGTAGTTTATACTTACACAAAGTTGGTCAGAAAAATGAGACTTACCTGGAAAATAAATCAGTTGTCCAGGAGGTGAATAATAGAGCAGTATTTATGAAAATGACCCCAATTTCAGTTGGTTCATTGGAGTTTTATGACTTATAAAACAAATTCTATGGTGATCTTAGATAAAATTCCTATAAACCCATCTATTTCACTCATGTCAGACCACACCAAGTGCCCTTTGTGAGAATGGAGCCTGAGCAGCAGCGACTTTCAGCAGAGCAAGTTGCATAAGCAAAAAGGCGTGAAGTAATTAAAAGGCATATTTTGACTGGAGGATAGAATATTGATTTTGATAGGAAATTGGGCTAAAATGTTGATTGAATTCCCAATCACAAAGATCCTTGTATTTCAAACTAAGGAAACAACTTATATATTGACATTAGAAATTCAAGTTATACTCAGACTTCCTTGCACTTGTAATTATCTGAAGGACCATTCCTAGTATGTTAATCATCATATATCATGCATGGGTCCTGTTGTATTTCTTGACACCTTTGTCAGTGTTCACATTTTAGAGAAATGCTTACTTTTGTCATGGTCTATGTTATTTAATAAAGTTTGGAGCCTTTGCTGATTGCATTATCTCCTTGACTTTAGATTGATCATGGGGAATGAGGAAAAAGGTGGGATCTGGTTGGCATGGAATTAAAGGCTCAAGTTGAGCATTTTGCCGAAGTAGGTATATGTCATTAGTTCAGCTTCTTCACACATGTGCAGTGCATTTTTTTCCCCACAGGTAATAATGGGGAATTCAAATTGGACTCGATTTCATATTCACAACAGGACTTCTAATGTTTTTAAATGCTGTCAATATTAAGACTACTAACATATCATCTCTTTCTCCCCCTAAATGGATTACATGGGTGCCTTTTCCAGCTTCTATCTAAGCACTATCCAACAGAAAAATAATGTGAGCCATATATTTAATTTTAAATGTTCTAGAAACCACATTAACAGATCAACAGGTAAAAGTCATTTGAAAATATTGTTTCATCTTAGAATTAAAATTTTAAAATGTGGAAATAGCTTTACATTCTTTTTGTATGAACTGTCCAATATCTGGTGTGTCTTTATATATACAAAACATCTCAACTCAAACTGGCCACGTTTCAAGTGCTTAACGGACGGGTAGCCAGTTGCTACCTTATTGGTTGGCACAGTTACGTCTTCCTTCTCTCTATTGTACATTCTCTGATGCTTAAGTGCCTATTTTCTGAGTAGTTCTATTTTTCAAGAGGAGAGATTTTTTTTTTCAGTAAAGTGTTATATATAACCGATTGCTCTGGTATCTCTTTATCTCGATAGTTATGTCTCTCAGAATTTTCAATATACTTCTCTGTTTACTTTGCTTTCCAGTTAAAGTGGTTTGCCCTTGACATAGACTCATGTGTATTAGAAAATGTAGCATCTAATTTCATACTTAGCTCTTTTGTTATCACAAAAGAATCTTGCTTTGCCTCTCTTGGTCTGTCCTTTGCTCTCCTTTTTTCTCTCTTCTTTTCCCTTTAGCCCCTCCCTCTTTTAAGAGTTAAAGACAAGCAGTTTTTAAACAAAAGGTGCAGAAAACTTCTTTTTTGTATTCCTTTACTATAATTTTAGATGTCAGTTTGCCTATACTTTATCACTTCCATCCCTCACATGGCTATATTAAATGTCTAGATATTAATGGAATTTTTTTTTTTACTTTTCAAGATAAACAGTAGTGCAGGATAGGAGCCCTTAATTTTTATTTTCCCAATAATTTACAGCACGTGCTTCCAAGCTTGCAATCACTTATATTGATTTTCATTTTGTTGAATATATTTCACTAATAAAACCAAAAAGATATCTGCATTTTTAAAGTGGTCCTTTAGCAGCCGAATAGTAGAAACTGTCATAGGAATACTTTCTTTAGAGAAAAAAGTTACATATTTATAAGCAATATATTGGCTAAACGTTAAATCTTCAGGCCATATTTTTCCTGAGTCTGTGCTGAGTCTAATGATGTCAGTAGAACTCTCGAGGTCTTTTAAGATGGTAGGTTATTAGATTGGATATGTTTATTGTCTTATTGCTGTCAGTAAAGATAAACTTATCTGTTGGATTATTAATCTCTATTTCTACATAAAAGGAAAAAAAGTGAGTTTCCGTAGATGGAGCTGGTCTATTTCTGCTCCTATGTTGGGATCACAAGGGCAGCATCTACAGATATCTCACCAGCTAGTAGGTGGGGCAGCTCATACTGTGTTTGCCCTTGGGTACATTAGCTTCTGTATAAGACTTTTTCTTTCTTCTTATCTGAAACAGATTTAGAATTCTTCACTGGCATTCCCTGGCCTGCATGGTTTAAATGAGATACTCTATACCGTTGCAAATTTGTCAAGCATTTCCTGAACCTTGATAGCAATTACTGCTGTCATTACATAGTGTCATTACATTCCACATAAGAAAATCAGAAAAAGAAATTGTGATATTTATGTTAGTAGGTGTGTATTTTTTTTTCCAGCTTGCCTCACAAACTATATTAGATGGACAAGTTCCCAAACCAATCTTTGGAAGTTTATTTCTTAAAGCTACAAAAGAATTTCCAAGAGATTAGATTTTTTGAAATGACCAGTTTCAAATGAATTTAATACAAAACTAGGATGAGGGTTGGAATGCAAGGAGGAATTAAAATATGCATGTTTTAATTATAGTTTACCAATATGAAGTGATTCCTGTGAGATTCAGTTGTTGGACAGATCAGAAGTTATACAGAAAAAGATCAATAATTCAGAGACTGAAGTGTTTCAGTTTTCATTAAACAGAAAGACCAGAAAGAAGTTAAAGAGGAGACATGTTCAAGTTCAATTAAACCAAATTTTATGAAGCTTATGATTCATCCAACATACCGCCATGTGTCTGCCCATAGTCCCCTCTCCTTCTAGATCATTTGCTGAAATGACATCTCAGACACAATCATTTGCTTCATTGTAACTAAATACCTCTTTACTTCACTGCTATTTATAAGGTCCCTTTTGGATTTTGTTTATTAATAATCATCTAGAATTCAAATAAATGCATATGCCACTCTTGCCACTCCTCTTCAGCATAGTACTAGAAGTCCTAGCCAGAGCAGTCAGACAAGAGAAAGAAATAAAGGGCATCCAAATCGGTAAAGAGGAAGTCAAACTGTCAGTGTTTGCCGACTATATGATCATTTACCTTCAAAACCCTAAGGATTCCTCCAGAAAGTTTCTAGAACTGATAAAATAATTCAGCAACATTTCCAGATACAAGATTAATGTACAAAAATCAGTAGCTCTTCTGTATACCAACAACGACCAAGCAGAGAATCAAATTAAGAACTCAACCCCTTTTACAATAGCTGCAAAAAATAAAATAAAATAACAACAACAACAACAAAAAACTTAGGAATATACCTAACCAAGGAGTCGAAAGACCTCTCCAAGGAAAACTACCAAACACTGCTGAAAGAAATCATAGATGACACAAACAAATGAAAACACATCCCATAGTCGTGGATGGGTACAATCAGTATTGTGAAAATGACCATACTGCCAAAGGCAATCTACAAATTCAGTGCAATCCCCATCAAAATAACAGCATCATTCTTCACAGAATTAGAAAAAAAATTCTAAAATTAATATGGAACCAAAAAGGAGCCTGCACAGCCAAAGCAAGACTAAGCAAAAAGAACAAATCTGGAGGCATCACACTACCTGATTTCAAACTATACTATAAGGCCATAGTCACCAAAACAGCATGGTACTGGTATAAATATAGGCACATAGACCAACAGAACAGAATAGAGAACCCAGAAATAAACCAAAATACTTACACAAACTGATCTTCAACAAAGCAAACAAAAACATACAGTAAAGAAAGGACACCCTTTTCATCAAATGGTGCTGGGATAATTGGCTAGCCACATGTGGGAGACTGAAATTGGCTCCTCATCTCTCACATTATACAAAAACCAACTAAAGATGGTTTAAAGACTTAAACCTAAGACCTGAAACTATAAAAATTCTAGAAGATAACATTGGAAAAAACTTTCTAGACATTGGCTTAGGCAAGGATTTCATGACCAGGAACCCAAAAGCAAATGTAATAAAAACAAAGATAAATAGCTGGTACCTAATTTAAATTAAAAAGCTTTTGCACAGCAAAAGGAACAATCAGCACAGCAAACAGGCAACCCATGGAGTGGGATAAAATCTTCACAATCTATACATCTGACAAAGGACTAATATCCAGAATCTACAACAAACTCAAATCAGTAAGAAAAATACAATCCCATCAAAAAGTGGGCTAAGGACATGAATAGACAGTTCTCAAAAGGAGATATACAAATGGTCAACAAACTTATGAAAAAATGCTAACATTATGAATGATCAGGGAAATGCAAATCAAAACCACCATGTGATACCACCTTACTCTTGCAAGAATGACCATAATCAAAAAAATTTTAAAAAGTACATGTTTGCGTGGATGTGGTGATCAGGTAACACTTCTACACTGCTGATGGGGATTTAAACAAGTACAGCCACTATGGAAAAGAGTGTGGAGATTCCTTAACTAAAAGTAGAACTACCACTCGATCCAGCAATCCCATTACTGGGTATCTACCCAGAGGAAAAAAAGTCATTATTCAAAAAAGATACTTGCACATGCATGTTTATAGCAGCACAGTTCACACCAGCACAATCGTGGAACCAATCCAAATGCCCATCACTGAATGAGTGGTTAAAGAAACTGTGGTGAGTGTGTGTGTGTGTGTGTGTGTGTGTGTATGTATGTATGTATATATGATGGAATACTACTCAGTCATAAAAATGAATGAATTAACAGCATTTGCAGTGACCTGAATGAGATTGGAGACTATTATTCTAAGTGAAGTAACTCAGGAATGGAAAACCAAACATTGTATGTTCTCACTGATATGTGGGAGATAATCTATGAGGACACACAGGCATTAGAATGATATAATGGACTTTGGGAACTTGTGGGGAAGGTTGGGGGGAGAGAGAAAAGACTACAAATAGGGTACAGTGTATACTGCTTAGGTGATGGGTGCACCAAAATCTCACAAATCACCACTAAAGAACTTACTCATGTAACCAAATACCACCTTTACCCCCAATAACTTATGGAAAAATAAAAAATAAATGCATCAGGTTAATAGAGAAACATATTATTTATGTAAATTAAAACAGATTTTAAGTACTACAAATATCTTTTAATAAGAAATCAGAAGTGCTCAGATTAAATATAATCTCTTAACATTTTTATGAGTTCCCAAATAAATGCAATATAAACATATTGAAAAAAATTATCCATTTCTAACATTTCAGCATCCATTGCCAACACACTCTCTAAGATTATCGCAACCATCTGAATACTACATTAAATACATGCAAAATACTTTCCTATATTCTTCTCATTTAGTGTAGAAGGAATTGGTATATTGAAATGACATTCATATCCCAGCAATTAAAATAATATGATTTAGATAATGTTATTTGATGTGGTGATATAAACCAGGACTTTGCAGTGTGATTTCATGTATTTAGAAACATTATTAGCCATTATCTGTTTAAATATGGCTTCTGCCACATTCTGGGATGCATATATATTAGACCGTTTTACTGTGTTCTCTATCTTTTTGTGTCTCCATGCTTCATTCCAGGTATTTCCTTCTGAATCTTAAGATTTAGTAATTTTCTATTTACCCCTGTCAAATTTGCTGTTAAACCCATGCACTTAATTCTTATTTTTCACTTACTGTATTTTTAATTCTAGAATTTCTTTTGGATTATCCCTAAAATATGTTATGTCCTTTTTATGGTTTACAGTTCTCTGCAGCGTTCTCAATCTTGTGTCTAATCTCTTTCAATATAGTCCATGTGGCTGCTTAAGTCACATTTCATATATATACATATACACATACATACTTTAAAACGTATAAACTTGTTTGTATATACATACTGTATATCTCTATATAATACTTTCCCTAATATAATTATACATATAAAAGTATATACATACACATATGCCTCTTTAATAGCCTGTTTTCTCAATTGCAATTGGGATTAACAATGTATATGTCTCACAGGTTTATTATAAGAATTAAGAATGATAATATTTATGGGGTTATTACTAGAGTTCTTGATACATATACTAAGCATGCGTACATGGGTGTTCTTTCAGTAAAATTAGACATGACATGATATAATTTAAAAATCAAGGTCTTCGGATAATGATACTATTTTTTTTCCAAGGCAAATGATAACACTGAGAGAGAGTAGCCTTTCAGTATCAGATACAATTGGACCCTGCTCGGTTTCTGCAAATACCATCTGTATCACCTTGGGCAATTTACTTAGCTTCTCTGTTTTTCTGTTTCCTGCCCTTATCTGTTTTTCTGTTTCCTGACCTTATAAAACGAATTGAACAATATAGATTTTACAGGCTGATTTGTGAATTTAATGTAATATGTGTAAGGTCCCTGGCATATTACACATGTAGCAGGAATGTATCTTCATAATCATATTAAATATATTTTTCAGATTTTCTAATTTTGTTAATATTTGAAACTAGTAATATAATTGAGTTTGCTGACAATTTAGGAAAACATGGCAAAGTGTGAAACAATTAAGTGATTCTCATTCTTTTTTCCCTTTTGATAAAGTTTTTGACACTTTGCCACCAATGCGCTATCAGGAGACCATGAGTGCCATCAGGACATGGGTCCAGCAGTCAGAAACCAAACTCTCCATACCTCAACTTAGTGTCACCGACTATGAAATCATGGAGCAGAGACTCGGGGAATTGCAGGTCTGTGAATATTTGAATGTCAAAACAATAAAGCACGCTTATCAAGCATTCACATTGATATAACCTTTAAATAATATTAGAATTTAAGTCATTCTGACAAGTATGGTAGTTTGCCCATTGAGCAAATGAAAATGAGACTTTACAGTATTATTTATGCATATACTCTATCTATGGATATATATGTATGGGCATATATACATGCTGTTTTTGAAAACAATTGTATGATCTATTTATGAAGTATATTTTTAATTTAGCATGCATTTTCAGATGTATTGATTTTGATTATTAGAAAAACCATTGTTTTATTCCCCACCTTTGCTTCTTTATTTGTAACTCCTGTCACATTCTCAAACTGGTGGGTAAAATCAGTGTACAGTCATCCCTTCGTATCCATGGGGAAGTGGTTCCAGGAACTCCTATGAATATCAGAATTCACAGATGTTCAAGTCCTTTATATGAATGGTGTAATATTTGCATATAACTTATGAACATGCTCCCATATACTTTAACTCATCTCTGGATTACTTATAATGCCTAATACAATGTAAATATTATGAAAATATGTGTTATACTGTATTATTTAGGAAGTAGTGACAATGAAAAAGTCTTACATGTTTAGTACAGATGTAGTTATTTTTGTCAAATATTATCTATTAGTAGTTGACTGAATCCACTCATTCAGAATCCACAAATATGGAGGGCTGGCTATATTTATAAAATTGGTTTAAATTTAAACATTAATTTTCTGTAATGTAATGAGACATTTGAATTCTAATAGCTACATTTTTTTAACATCCTTCTATCAGGAAAGATATACTAATATGGGAAATGAAAGAAATAATTTGTAAGAGATTTTATAATACTTTTCCTACTTTATTTTATTTTTAGACGGAGTTTCATTCTTGTTGCCCAGGCTGGAGTGCAGCAGTGCTATCTCGGCTCACTGCAACCTACGCCTCCCGGGTTCAAGTGATTCTCCTGCCTTAGCCTCCTGAGTAGCTGGGATTATAGTGCGTGCCATCACGCCTGGCTAATTTTTGTATTTTTAAAGTAAAGATGGGGTTTCACCATCTTGGCCATGCTGGTCTCAAACTCCTGACCTCAGATGATCTGCCTGCCTCAGCCTCCCAAAGTGCTGGGATTACAGGTGTGAGCCACTGCGCCCAGCCCTTTTCCTACTTATTATAAAATACTACATTATATGTTCAATAACTTTTTATTTCTGAAGACATGAAAACGTATTAGTTATATTTAGAAGCTGAGATAATATGTGCATTTTAAGAAAAATGTTTAAAAATTCAAATTTAAACTTTATCACATAGAATTTTTTTTGGATAATTAAATATTTTTTTGAAGTAATGTATTCAAAGAAAAATACATTTAAACAACTTTCATTATGTATTGTCCTATTTAGATATTTATTCTACTACAATACCAAATGGTAGCTGTTTCACCTTTTTTGTTTCCTTTTGTTGTGGTTTTTAATGCTTGGCATAATGATTCCAAAGTCTATCTGGAAAAATGTGTTGCCTAATAGAACTAGTAAACTTTTAAACATAAGAATAAAAATGTGCAAGAATAAGAGTGGAGAAAACACAAGAAAAGGCAGTTAGATGAGCAGAAGAGACTATTTCCACTGAAAAAGATAGGAAAGAAAATAATTGTTCATAAATATTATTGGGAAATGTATTAACTAACTAAAAAAAAAGATATGAACATTTCCCCCAAAGTTACACCAAAATAAAAACCACATACAATAAAATGTTCAAAAAATGTGGGGAAGCCCAAATTTTGGAAAATATTTAAAATAATAATGTTATAAAAATTTAGGTGGAGAAGCATAAAAATCGATGGAAACAATCACAAACATTGTAAAAACACCAGAGACAATTTTAAAGAAATATGATACCAAGGAATCTTTTTTTTTCTGTGAGTAAGGAAGAAAGTCTTGAGTAAGGTATCCTCCAAAAAGAGACATATATGAATAATAAACCTATGAATAATTGTAACTTAAATTGTAAAGGAAGAAGTAAAAAAATTACAAGATGAGAATTTTTTTTGCATACTAAATTGCATACACACAAAAGATATAAGTACCAATTTGCAAGTGGTGAAATAAAAATTGTCTCTTACTGCTGGAAATGTAAATTCAATATGAATTTTACTGAGGTTAACTCTTCAGTGCATCCTAATAACATACAACATTAATATAATTTCCATGAAATCTGTATCTGATGGAAATAATCAGAATACACTCAAAGATGTAAATGGAACTGGAGATAGATAGGATATTGATTGATTGAGGGATGGATGGATGGATTAGATAGGTAGGTAGATAGAGATAAACATAATTTACAGGAGTGGAAAACTAGAAATGAATGTGTAGAACTAATAATGGAAATTGTTGAACTAGAAAAGCCATTACAATTTTTGTTTTTGAAAAAATAATTATTTGACATGGGCAAATGCTCACACTAAAACACCTAGCTCAAAGTGTAGTTATATGCTAGATATTGTCTAAATAATCAGTCATAGGGGAACAATTTGAAAAAGTGAAATAAACTTAAAAAAGTAAAGTAAAAAAACAAATTAAGTACCACCAAATAGGCATAGGATACTATGAAACTATAAAACTTAGATATTTGACAAATTTTGGGTTGATATAGGTCACATTATAGGGGAAAGAATAACTGTTTATATGTGCATACATGATCATATATTTAATATTTAGCTATACATAGAACAAATTGAAAATTTATATAAAGTACTAGTAGTTCTGGTTTTTTTTTCCATTTTTGTCATGAGCCTTTATTATTTTATAAAGTAAAAGTAACATTAAAGTAAATATTGAACAGGGGAAGTCTAAAGTTATGATCCTACTGTAAGAAATTACATGTGTTATACAGAATAAGTATAAATAAATTTTATAAATTCTCCACAAAACTATCCTTGAATCCCACCATAATACTACATAACAGAATAACATTTTTTGAAAATATATTAAGTACATAGATTGTTCAATAAGTTTTTCTATTCCATATATCAATATTATTAGCTATAGTTTTATGTAGAGTTTACTTTCCTGAAAGCTCAGTATAATTAATTTCAACTCCATTAACTGTATCACAAATGCAGTTATTAATATATATACTTAATTCAGTAAAATTAGATGCACCAAAACTTTTTGGCTCTGTAAGATATAGTTTTGAGATATATTTGACATTGTTCAGAAAAATACATATGGAGTGTTAAATACCACTAAATAATATTCAAGTTACTCTTAGGATAATATGTAAAATTTAAATTACCACTAGAAGTTTATAACTGATAGAAGATCATCTACTTTGTTTACATGTTTGAATCATATAGATTTCAAGTACAGTTAATTTCACTAAAACTCATCAATTATTATTCATCAATTAGGGTAAATGTATTTAAAAAATTGTTTTTTAGGCTTTACAAAGTTCTCTGCAAGAGCAACAAAGTGGCCTATACTATCTCAGCACCACTGTGAAAGAGATGTCGAAGAAAGCGCCCTCTGAAATTAGCCGGAAATATCAATCAGAATTTGAAGAAATTGAGGGACGCTGGAAGAAGCTCTCCTCCCAGCTGGTTGAGCATTGTCAAAAGCTAGAGGAGCAAATGAATAAACTCCGAAAAATTCAGGTAATTCAAGATTTTACTTTCTACCCTCATTTTTATTTACTTGTTTTTTCCCTAACGATACACTGTAAACTGTAAAGGTACATAAGCATTTGACCTTCAGCATCTTTCAAAGTTAGTGAGAAGATGAAAAGACATGAGTCTTTTACAAAGGATGGCGATTTGCTTATTCCTTCTAGGAAAAGAATAGGAGTTTTCTCAGTGTTTTTAGAATGAATTTTCTATTTTCACCATTACCAATAGGAATTAAACATGTTTTTAGTTTAATAATTTTCAAAACCAATCATCCATTTAGTCTGGTTGTCTTTTAAGATACGGGTAATCATTTAGCTTATGACTAGAAAAAAGTTATGTATATATACATTATACAGAGGTATATTGTAATCATTTTATATATATAATGTATAGTATGTATATGATTATTTCCTATATTACCTTTCATTTCTGCTGTTTTGCTACTTATAAAAAGTAGGAGTCAACTATGCTGTCTATATGTGCTATTATATATAAAATATGGTGATATGTTCATAAAATTGCATTATATATTCATCCCATTATGTATAACTCCATATATGTATATGTGCAGTAGAAATGTAGGTGTATTAATGTCCTATGATACTCCTAAGAAATTAGCAGAAATTTAATGGCTTCAAACAACACAAATTTATTACATTACTGTTCTGGAGGTCAGAAGTTCAGAATTAATCTCTGTGGGCTAAAATTAAGGTGTTAGCAGAACTGTGTCTGTTTTGGAGACTTTGAAAGAGAATGTGTGTTATTGGCATTTTTAGCTTCCATATATATATGTATATATATACACACACATACATATAACATGTATATATGTGTGTATATATATATATATATACGTGTATAATGGAATTATATATCATGTACATATATACATATCTAATGTAATATATATCACATATGTAACCTGTTGTATATGTATATTAATGTTACATATGTAATATATAGTAATAACTTATTTTATCACCATATCGAATTTGTAATTATATGCTTAAATTTTACCACATCACCTTCTTCCTGAAACCAAATTCCCTTGACTTAATTTGTTTGAATAGTGCCACCATACTAATAACCACTCAAGCTAAAGAAAAACAGTAAACCAACAATTGCATTAAGGTCTAAAAGCCTAAAATATTCAATAAGGTAAGTAATGTGTCCCTTGAGTGGTCAATTATTGTGACAAATGTTAATGCTGGGAAGGAAATGTCGAAAACGTTATGGTATGATGGAAAAACATTGCAACAATATGCTCCTGGATTTAAATCCCAGTCTAGCTGCTTAGTTTTTGTGCTTACCTTTTACAAACCAAAGCACTAAGCAAACCTAAAACATTTTTTAATGCATAGCATTTCTTTACTTATAAACATATGTGTACATGCATACCTATGTAAATACTGCATGAAAATATCTATTATTTGTCAAGACCAGTGGCCTAAGAGGGCACAATTACATGGCTCTTGTTATCAAGGAGCCCACATTCTAGTGAAGGAGGAAGGTAGGTGTATTCATTTCCTATGGCACTCCTAACAAATTGCCGGAAATTTAATAACTTCAAGCAACACAAATTTATTAGAGTTCTGGAAGTCAAAAGTTCAGGATTAGTCTCAGTGGGCTAAAATTAAGGTGTCAGCAGGACTTTGTCTGTTTTGGAGGCTTTGCGACAGAGTCTGTTTTATTGGCATTTTTAGCTTCTAGAAGCATTCCTTGTCTCATGTCCCCATCCTCCATCTTCAAAGTCAGCAGTGTAACATCATCTAGTGTCAATTTCTCTCTCCCTGTCTATCTCCCTCTCCCTCTCTTTCTACCTCTCCTTCTCACCTTCCTTTCCCTATCCTGTTCCCTGTGTTGACTTCCTTTTAATTAGGACCTTTGTGATTACATTATGCCCTGGTGGATGATCCAGTATAATCTCCCCATCTCAGAATCCTTAATGTAATCACATCTGCAAAGTCCTTTCTGGTAATATACTCACAGGTTTCAGAGATTAGGGTGAGGACATCTTGGGGGTAGCATTATTCAGCCTTGCATGGTAAATAAATTAAACAGTATGGGAAAGGTTGTCACAGTAGGCAGGAAGGAAATCCAACATAAACTAGGAAAAAGGATTATGAAATATTATCGGAACATAGGTTGTCTCTGCTATAGATTAAATAGGTAGAATTTAGTTAGCTAATACCGAGAAAGAAAGAGTTCTTGAGAAAGCATAGCAGCATTTTCAGTTAAATGATATAAGTTCAACACTGGGTAGACAATATATATGGGGATTAATAAAATATTATGGTTGGAAAACTGGATTGAGAGTAGACAGTGAATGTCCTTGGATGCTATGTTTTACAATCTGAGTTTTAATCTAGTGGTGATGGGACTGATAATAATAACAATAAAAACTTAATAAGAAAAAACTGCTATTGGTTAAAGAGGGAAATAATATGATTCCACTTGTGTTTTCAAAACATTCCCAAGATGAGAGGAAGGAGGAGAGGAGATTACTGGCATCACTGTAGATCAGTAATTAGAATGAGGTGAGACCGAGGCAGATATCAAAACGAGCCAGTGCATTAATGGAGTCACTAATGAGACCTGAACAGCCCAGGCGTAGTGGCTCATGCCTATAATCCCAGCACTCTGGGCAGCTGAGGCAGGTAGATCACGAGGTCAAGAGATCAAGACCATGCTGGCCAACATGGCGAAACCCTGTCTCTACTAAAAACACAAAAATTAGCTGGGCATGGTAGTGCACGCCTGTAATCCCAGCTACTTGGGAGGCTGAGGCAGGAGAATGGCGTGAACCTGGGAGGTGGAGGCTGCAGTGAGCCAAGATTGTGCCACTTCACTCCAGCCTGGGCGACAGAGCAAGACTCCATCTCAAAAAAAAAAAAAAAAAAAAACAAAAAACAAACAAAAAAAAAAAGACCTGAACAAGGACAGTGAAGATGTGAAATAAGAACAAATGTAGACTTGAAAGATAACAGCAAGGTGATCGTCTTGAAGTTCTCTTAGATAAATAGTTTAAAAATTATTATTAATAATCACATTAAAGGGGAAACTTTCTGTGGAGCACATATTTTCAATGTAAATTTAAGTAAAACAGAAGAAAATAACACATGTAGACAGCATAGTTGAATCATACTTTTTAGAAGTGGCAAAACAGCAGAAAAAAAGGTAATACGGGAAAGAATCATGGGTGAGAGATACTGGCTATTTATAAATGATAAAAGATGATGATTTTTACCTGATCATTACTTCGTACTGGTCAGACAAATAAAAGCAAAAGCTCTGTCTTTGAAGATGACAAAATATTAGTCCAAAAGTTCCCAACTGGAAGGACTATTTAAACTGTCATCTGTAGAAAATAATTTGTGAAAGTTCGGGTTTAGGGAGGCTATAAAGACACCATTACATTGAGTTTATTGTTCATAGTTTGTTTTATGTACTGTAAGGACACATTTTTAGTATTCTCATGAGTTGTTTTGTAACTTAAAATTTCTCTAGAGGGGGATATGATTTAATGTTCTCGAGAGTAACATCATAAAACCACATTTGGTAGTAATTTTGTATTTTTAACAATAGCAGACTTCACACACCAGTGCTCATACAGTAGACCATAAAAATGCAGTCTTAGTAAAAATATTCTTTGCCTCAAGAACTACTTAGAGACATCCTTTAAACATGGGAATTGTTTTTGGGCCTGTGTTTAGACATAACACAATGATGAATTGTGTTAAAAGTAATCAGCACACCAGTAATGCCTTATAACGGGTCTCGTTTCAGAATCACATACAAACCCTGAAGAAATGGATGGCTGAAGTTGATGTTTTTCTGAAGGAGGAATGGCCTGCCCTTGGGGATTCAGAAATTCTAAAAAAGCAGCTGAAACAGTGCAGAGTAAGATTTTTATATGATGCCTTTAATATGAATAATTTTGTATGAATATTATTTGGTTAGATCAGTGTTTTACAGCTGGGGTGGATTTTGCTCTCCTCTCCCCAGTGGATTTTTTTTAATGTTTCTAGACGTTTTTGATTGTCACAGCTGGGTTGGGGGTGGTGGTTAGATGCTACTGGTGTCTAATAGGTAGAGGAGAGAGATGCTGCTAAATATCGTACAGTCCATAGAACATTCCTCCAGAACAAGGAACTGCACAATCTAAAATGTCACTAGTGCCAATGTTGAGAAACCCTGGGTTGAGTAAATGAGGAACTGACAAAACATTGCCTTGTACTCAACCTCATTTGATAACATTATTTTACTATAAAATGCAGTATAATTTAAAGGTAAAGAATCCTTTGAGCTACTTGTTATTTCTTATGATAAATTACTATTCATACTGTGTTGTTCTCTTCATCTATAATGCACTGTACTATAATATAACACAGTATGCATTTTGAAATAATATTCATTATACCATTGTCATGCAGCAGGAAGAAAACAATCTTGCTCTTTAAGGAAATTTTTTTACAATACAAGCTAAAAAAGCAAATCCACCTCACAAATAACCTTCACACCCATTACACTGTAAACAATTTCTGCAGTATCCTGTGTTTGAAAATGAAAATACTAACAAAGATAATAAAGTATGAAGCCCATCATTTTCACACATTTTTCTAACCAGAAATATTAAATTTATTTCCTTTTGTTTCTGATATAAGTAGAATACAAATAATTCCCCACTGGATTCATGCCATAATAACCATTGAACATTTTTGCAAGACTGTTAGGCAGTCATCTATATCAATATCTCTGTATCTCAGATTTTAAAAGACAAAAATCCATATGCAATGCCATCAGTCCCAATTTTACATTTTCTAGCTATGTTTCATATCTAATATGTGGCAGTAATTTTTTTCAGCTGGCTTAAATTGATTTATTTTCTTAGCTTTTAGTCAGTGATATTCAGACAATTCAGCCCAGTCTAAACAGTGTCAATGAAGGTGGGCAGAAGATAAAGAATGAAGCAGAGCCAGAGTTTGCTTCGAGACTTGAGACAGAACTCAAAGAACTTAACACTCAGTGGGATCACATGTGCCAACAGGTATAGACAATCTCTTTCACTGTGGCTTGCCTCAACGTACTTAACTAAGATTTCCTAATGTCTCCCTTCACCGTTACTTTTGGTTAAGGCTTTGTTCCTATGTTTTTGCTTTAAAGCACAATTAATTCTGACAAATTAATCTTTTTTCTAGCATATCTAAATATTTTCATGGTATATATTTTAAATAGTACACATTCATCTTATTTTGATCCTAAAATGACTTTCTTGAACACAACTGTCATACTAAAAAATGAAATCCTATTCTTAGTCATTATTTCCAATCCATGTTTTCTTCAGAACATAAATGTATAATAATAATGGGATTAAGAAAAATTTGTTACACGGAGATATTTGGTACAAAATAAAATGCATGGCTAATATATGTGTATGTAGAAATAGGATAAATAATTATAACTTTCGATTAACATTTCCAAGTTTGGCCTCTTCGACACATTTATTATTTATTTATTTTATTTTTTGGGACAGGGTCTCCCTCTGTCACCCAGGCTGGAGTGCAGTGGTGTGAACTCGGCTCACTGCAGCCTCAACCTCCTGGGCTCAAGCAATTCTCCCATCTCAGTCCCCACAAGTAGCTAGAAGTACAGGTGTGTGCCACCATGCCTGGCTAATTTTTTGTTATTTTTTGGTAGAGACAGGGTCTTGCTGTGTTTCCCAGGCTGGTTTTGAATTCCTGGGCTCAAACAATGCTCTTTCCTTGGCCTCCCAAAATGCTGGAATTATAGGTGTGAGTTACCACACCTGGCTGACATCTAGTTTTAAATAACAATTAAGATTCAGTAACCATTAAGAATAGCTGAATTTCAAAAAAAAACACACACAAAATGACTGTACACTCATATTTGAGTTTCTCATTTTTCTACAGAAGAATATTTTATAGATATCTCTCTTATATTTAAATATTCAATTACGGATAGTAAGATATATTCAAAAATAGTGTATATCAAATACTTCTTGTTCGAAAGATAAAATTTTGAACTAAAGCAATGAATACTTTTAAGTTCACCAATACATTAGTCCCCGATCATCTGCAGTTTTGCTTTCCCTGGTTTCAAATGCTTGTGGTCAATTGGAATCCTAAAATCGGTGAGCACAGTAAAATAAGATATTTTGAGAGGGAGAAGAAGAGAGATAACTTGTTCTATTTTATTAGTTGTTAATCTCTTACTATGCCTAATTTATAAATTAAATTTTATAGGTATGTATGAGTAGGAAAAAATCTAGTGTATATAGGGTTAGGTATCATCTATGGTTTCAGGCATCTATTGGAGGTCTTGGTATGAACATATCTTCCAAAGATACAAGGGAACTACTGTACCTTTTTGGAAATTAATAAGGGGTTTCAATTTACGTGTTAGAGGCAGTTGGTCTTTGGTTACTGCTAAGTAAACTTTCAAAATAGAAAAGAAGTAATGTCAAAAGGCAAAAGCTACATTTGAAAATGAAAAAAAAAATTAGAAAAGTCAAGGGAAATCACTCAGCTAATACAATCACTGACAAGTGTTCATTGGTTCTGTTAATTCACAGATGAGCTGTCCCTGGGTCAGCTAGCTCACATTCTTCTCCTGAAGTAAGTCAGTGCTAGAAGAGTTGTTTAGGAAAAAAAAAAAATATTACTTAAATAATAGATTATACCATTGATGTTTTCCTGGAAGGCCAGTGTGAAAGGTATTTGTTTTTTGTTTGTTGAATGTTCTTAATGGATGAATAAAAAGAACATCACCAATTTATGTAGAGCAAGGGGAAAACATCAGCCAAAAAAAAAAAGTATAAAACCAACAATATTACTAAAACCTCAAGGTTTTTACATTTTACAGGAGTACAATTTGTAAAGGCTCTCTAAAAATGTCTTTGCTTAAGACCTTATGTCTGTTATATGTACTAAGAATTTGTTGTTCAAGAGATATATTTTAAACACACTCATCTGTTGCATAGCAAAAAAGCTATAGATCCAAGCTATGTTCTGATCTCCATTTTCTAATCTTAGAATATTATATGTATCTGTGCTTTTCCTACAAGTATCACTCTGGCCATGTTCTGACTTTGTAGCCAAATGAGTTAGGTTGTAAAAGGAAGGAACAATGGCGCTCAAGGAGAAGAAGAAGACGATGCGGTAAAAACAAGGAAGCCATATGTGAATATTGTTACCAATTCAGCATTCCAGAGAGAATAATGGAAATGAAGTGTAAATCTATGCATTACAGAAATATCTACAGACAAAATAAGTGTGTGATACACTCTTTTGGGTTAAAGATAATTCCTTTTTTGTCACCAGATGCCAATGTCTGCGAAAACATAAATAATTTGAAACAAAATTGTCCAAATATCTGATACATTTGAAGATGCTTTCACATCCCATGATCTAATTTTGGGTATATAAAATGGTTATTATTTTAAATTTTAAAGGGTATGTATATAAGTTTAAAAATCTAGATTCTAGCTATTTCTAAAAAAATGATCAGATATAAGTGAGGGAATAAAATAGACATTGTAGTTACCTTCACGGAGATAATAGTTTAGTGGTGAAAATGGAAAGTAAATAGGTTAACACATTATCACAACAATGTCTTGTTTGAAGTCTTGCTTACACTCTGAATGTAGCAATAAGAACCCTTTAAATGAGAGTGACAGGAGCAGGAAAACTACTTTCTATTGGGTAGTCAGTAGAGTGTTTTCTGAAGAGGCGAAATTAAAGCTGATACCCGAGTAGTAGGAACTTGACAATTTGTTGTGTCAAGGAATTCTGCCAGAAAATGAAGTGGAGAAAACATCTGAGGCAAGAGAGGGCTTAGCATGTTTGAGGAGCTCAAAGGAAGCCAGGAGAAAAAGAGTGGGAAAATGAGTCAGAAAGGAATATGGAAGCCACAGTGATGATTTAGTCATTATGTCAAGTACTTTGGAAAGTCATCTGACTTTTAAGCATAGGAGTGGCATCATTTCATTTCATTTAAAATGGTTGTTTTAAGTTTGCTGCATATTCCTATTAGAAGAAGAATAAATCAAAAGGGCTGAAGTGGAAGCAGGTAGGGATTGCAATTGTCCAGGTAGAAAAAAAAAACAGGCAGGAAAAAGGGGATATTTGTGGATATTGTAGTTTTCTGAGGAACCTCCATGCTGTTCTCTACAGTGACTGTACCATTTATATTCCCACTAACAGTGTAGTGTAGTTCCTTTTTATCTGCATCCGTGCCAACAATTATTTTTTGTCTTTTTGGCAATATACATCCTAGCTGGGGTGAGGTGATACCTCATTGTGGTTTTGGTTTGCATTTATTTGATGATTACCGATGTGGAATTTTTTTTTCATATATTAATTGGCCATTTTTTTCTTCTTTTGGAAATAACTGTTCAGATTATTTGCCCATTTTTGAATCCCATCACATCCACATATGATATGATGTTTTATATCATAAAATCGTTATTTTTCTTTTTATGATATCTGAGTTTCTAGCTTCTGCACAGCAAAGGAAACAGTAAACAGAATGAAAAGACAATCCACAGAATGGGAAAAAATATTTGCAAACTACTCATCCAACAGAGGATTAGTATCCTCATTACATTTTTGATGAGGACTTTCACACTTACATCTACCCAGAAGTATTATTCCTATCCTAACATGACACATTCCTTTATTCTTTTTAACAGATCCCATTAGATCTGGCAGTACTTGCTGAAGGAGAGTGTTTGTTGATAGTCTAGAGGAAGAATGAGGGAAGAATCAAAGTGTTTTCAGATATATTTCTGTTATGAGCTACATTGTAGGTCATTGTGATTTTAAAGAAAGAGTGGGTACTAAGAGAAGAACAAAATGGAATAGCTTACTAGAGTGACTAGCGGTTCCATCTTAGCCATATTTATTTCGGAGAAAAAGACAATCAGACATGTATCTGGAAGTCAAGTACACTTTTCAAACTGGGCATATAAACGAGGTACATAAAAATAAAGATAACATGTATATAAGATACTGTTTCTTGCCTATTGAGAAGATTTCCCCATGCTCCCATCCCTAAAATGCTTGGTCAAATTGGATAATTCGTAAACTCTTAGAGATGGAAGAGAATCTATTTTTGTTTAAACCACTTTGTTGAGGTATGACTGACATACCAAAAGCTGTACATATTTAATTTATACAACTTGATTAGTTTGGGGATAAGCGTATACCCATGAGACTTATTACCACATTCAAGATGATAAACTTACCTATCACCTCCAAAAGTTTCCTTCTGCCCCTTAATTTATTTATTTTTTTTGTTTTGTGATAAGAGCTCCTAAGATCTATCCTCTTGGAATATTTTTAACAATACAGTATTTTTAACTATAGGCCCAATGTTGTACAGTAGATCTGCAGAGCTAATTCATCTTGCATAACTGAAGCTTTGTATCCTTTGGGCATCATTTTGCCATTTTCCCCTCTCTCAGCCTTTGGAAACCACTATTCTACTCTCTAGTTCTGTGAGTTTGACTATTTTAGATTCTAGGGAATGGAAGGAAATATTCACAAATCATATGTCTGGCAAATGATTAATATCCAAAATATATAAGGAACTTCTAAAATTCAATAGCAAAAATAAAACTGAAAAATAACCTGATTAAAAATGAGCACAGGACTTGAATAGTCATTTCTCTAAAGAATACGTAGAAATGACCAACAGGTATATGAAAAGGTGCATCACTAATCATCTGAAAAATGCAGTTAAAAGCCACAAGAACCTCTTCATACCTGTTAGGGTGGCTATTATCAGAACAAAACAAAGCAAAAGATACTAAGTGTTGGCAAGAATGTGGAGAAAAGGGAATTCTTTTATGGTGTTGGTTGGAATGTAAATTGGTGCAGCCATTTGGGAGAACAGTTTGGAGGTTCCTCAAAAAATTACAAATAGAATTCCCATTTGATTCACCAATCCCGCTTCTGGATATATATCCAAAGGAAATAAAATCAGGATCTCAAGGAGGTATCTGCACCCCTATGTTTACAGCAGCAATATTTACAATAGCCAAGACATGGAAACAATCTAAATGTATATTGTCAAATAAATAAAACATGGTATATGCATATAACGGAATATTATGTAGCTTTAAAAAAGAAAATTCTTCCATTTGCAGCAGCATAGATGAACTTGGAGGATAGTATGCTAAGTGAAATAAACCAGACACACGCGGTCAAATACTGGAGAATATTTTTTTTGTGGATGGAAAGGCACAGTGTGTAAGACCAGAAGCTCTGAGATCAGATCGCCTGGGTTTAAGTCTATCCACATCATAAACTGCCTGTGTGATTCTAGAAAAGTTGTTTAACCTTTTTGTGCTTGAGTCTCCCAATCTTTAAAATGTGATGATATTAATACATAATTCATAAGTATATAATAATTAAATGAATTCATCTTTTCAAGGTGTATAGAGCCTCATCTAACCTAGATTAATCACTGTACATGTTTGTTAGATAGAAAACAAATAGAAACCTACATATATAGAATTATAAAACATGTATACTTTCTAAGTAAATAATATATGGTTATATATTTTAATTATTAGTGGCTTTAAATTTATAGTAAATAGTTATCAATAAATGGGATTTAGAGGTTACGTGGATGTCTTTCTGCCAGCTTGCAGATCATTGTCTTTCTCTGGGTCAGTATACTCTTTGGGTGTAGTGATCCCCAGATCTCTTTCGTCAGATCTCTAACAGTCTGTTTTTCCATCTTTCTGCAAAAAACTAGCTTCTTGTTTTACCGAGAAAATATAAGCAATCAGAATAGAAGTTGCAGTACTCCCACTGACCTGCATATAAGCTCACAGACTCTACTTTCCCTTTGTTTACATAGATGAACTTTCTGTGCTTTTGTCTAAGGCCAGCTTTTCCACTTACGTACCTGGATCCCTTTCCCTTGTCTCTGCACAAGGACATTGTAACAGCTAATGAACAGCCCTCTACCTCCTACATCTTCTCCACGCTACATCATTCCCATCATTCCCATCAGTAGAGAATTATTCTGTAATATCTCCTGTCATTTAAAAGAATCCTCAATTGGACAACAATCTCTCTAGCAACCTCTCCATTCCCGTTTCCCTTTACAGACATTCCTTTCTCTCCATTTCACTCCTTCCCTTCTCTCTTGATGCCAATTAAGAGAGCTAATCAAACTGTTATCCTCACTATTCTATTAAAGCAGATTTTGTCAGGGTCATCAGTGAATTCGTATTACTAAATCGCTAAATTCAGTTGGCTTCTGTGTCATCATTCTTTCTTAATTATCTCTTAGTTTTCCCTGACCACTGTCAATATCCTTGGTGGTTCTATTGCCCTGACCACTAAATTTGAAAGTGTTCCAGGGCTCAGTCTGTGGACTCCTTTTTTTTTTCCCCCTATTACCACCCACTCTCCGGGTCAACTTATCAAGCTCCATAGTTTTAAATGTAATCTGTAAGTTGTTCCTGCTGTAAGTTTTTTTTTTTTTTTTTTTTAACAATCTGGACCCTTTCTAATGATCCTAGACCTGCATACCCATTTGCCCACTCAACACCTCCACATCAATTAATAATAGGCATATTAAATCTAACATGTTAAAACAAAATTCCTGATGTATACCCCAGTCTACTACCCTAGAAATTTGCCTGTTATTACAAATGGCACCTCCATCTTTCCACTTATTCAAGCCAAATCCCACGAGATTTTCTTGTCTCCTATATTTCTCTTACAGCCGAACATCAAATCTATCACCAAATGCTGTCGTTTTTGCCTTCAAAATTTCCAGGATCCAACAATATCTCACCATACTTGAGCACGTGCACACACACACACACATACACACACACACACACACACACACACACACACACACACAAAGTATGTATGTGAATGTATAGTTTTTACTAGAAGTCTTGGCTGAATTCCATTAGTCCCTCTAATATTTTTGTAGCTTCACCAACTGCCTTAAAAGATTATAACAGAGCAGAGTTTCTAAGTAGAAATTTAGCAGCAGGATTTCTTAATTTATAAAATAGCAAAAATAGCAGCATGTTTTCTTAAGTTTATTATAGGTTCATTGACTGCACAAAATAACATTTATACCTTTTCTAGTACAATTGCAAGACATATTGTTCTAGATGTGTTAGGGTGAAACATTTATTTACATTGTAGTAGATCAAGTACTACATTTACCTAGGTAAGTAAAGAACCTAAAATGAAGTATTATCTATATTAGGCTCAAAATGGTTGTAAATTATAAGGAAAATCAATGCGATAGTGATTCTACACATATTTACTATTGGGCAAAGTACCATGAACACTTCATTTTACTAAAACTGTGCATTATATATTAATACTATGAAAACTCTGTTACTTAAAATGTATAATGTTGTTTCAACCAGAGAGAAGAATACCATCTTTTGAATAGAGTTACTTTTTAAAGTAAAAGCACTATGTATAATGATTGTAATACTATAGAGTGCCTTGTAACAAGGTGTATGATTTTCTTTTAGATGTTTTAAGTTTTGCATTTTTCTGGTTAATGAGTAATGGAGTCCATTGTAGAAAGTTTTAGTTTTCAAAAATGCGTGAGGCTTTAAATAGCAGATGTTTTCTATAACCACAGACAGACTCTTTTGCAACTTGCATTTTACACGTAAAACTTTATATTGAGCCACTTTTCATTTCAGTAAAGATGTATTTGTGATGCACAGTATCCCATAGTATATATATGTCATAATTTAATCTCTCATGAAAGCACCTTTGGGTTTGTTTTCAAGATGTTTGGTCTTTAAAGCTGAATTAAATATTGTACATGTTAGTCTCTACACTTTGGTTGGCATGATTCACTCTCAAAAAATGGAGCAGTTGACTCAGATTCGTGGACATTAACATTTTTATATGTTTTGCCATCTTACTATCTAAAAGGTTGTATTATGTTGGATATTTCCCTCAACAAGTATAAAAACTTTGATTTTCCCACATCCCTGCCCAAAATGGGCTCTTTATTAATTATTATTTTTCCCTGTCTTAACATGTGAAAATGCATTAATTCACTTCGATTTGCAATCATTTAACTATAAATGGTATTAGAACATCTTTTATATACATGTATTGCCATATATTATCTTCTTTGTGAATTGCCAAACTACGTTTTATGCACTTTTCGTTTTTTCTTTTTAATTTATGAGAGTTTCTGTAGATACATGATTATGAAGTTCTTAGAATATTTAAAATAGTAAAACATTATGAAAGAACACAAAGAATAACTATTTCTATGTATGCCAATAAAATTACTTTTCCAACTGAAACATATTATTTTAAAAAGCCTTGTTTTTCTCCATTCACAGAAAAGCATTGTCACACAAACAGCTGAATTATCATCATCGGGCAATACGTTCATTTTATTAAGTATGCCAAATAAACAGACATGTCTTATTTTCACACTTATGGGAAATTGAGTGTATCTGATCCCCATGAGTTATTTTCTTATGCATATAAGCTTTTTACTTCTTTATCATTACTATCTAAGCTTTCTGTTATTTACATACTGATGAAATAATATAATAATAATGTTTCATCACTGTCAATAATCGTGTTTTGTTTGTTTGTTTTGTGGAAGGTCTATGCCAGAAAGGAGGCCTTGAAGGGAGGTTTGGAGAAAACTGTAAGCCTCCAGAAAGATCTATCAGAGATGCACGAATGGATGACACAAGCTGAAGAAGAGTATCTTGAGAGAGATTTTGAATATAAAACTCCAGATGAATTACAGAAAGCAGTTGAAGAGATGAAGGTAAAAAAAAAAAAAGAAAAACTAAGTAAAACAAAGGAAATAAATGGAAAAAGAAAGAAATGCAACAATGCTTGAAGTTGTATACAGTCTGCTCTTTCCTGGTTCTAAGAGAAGAGGTTGATTTTTAATTAATAATTTTAATTTAGCTTCAAGTTTAATATACATTTTAACAACCTTAAACTGTTTAATTTTAATGCATTGTGGTCAATTATGAAAATTGAAAATCACAATTTGAAACAATTTTCCCTTGAAATCATGTAGTATTAAGAGAGCAGAATCAACTCATTTCATTAACTGTCTGTAGCTGATGTAAATGTACGTTGAAACTGTGCAAAAGTATTCTTGAAAAGACAAATTTATAATGTAGTCAACAAACTGTGTTAATTTGGTAGTTTGAAGGCATTTCTGAGAATTTGGAAACACTAAATATTTGAACCCGTAGCCTTTAATATGGATAGAAAGGACTGAGTTTACATGTACTTTTCTTGAAACAATAGGACAAAATATAACATTGACTTATTACGAAGGAAACTGGTATGTAGTATGTAGTATGGATTTGGAGGTGAAGCCTGGACTTGAACCTACATAGTGGCATTTCGTATGGCCTTGGGCAACAATATAATAGTCAATATAATCCTCTGTTTTATCATGTTTATATCATCATACTTCCTCACTTGAATGTATGAACTGTTGATTGTAACTACCATGTGAGTAAATTGCCTAACTCAGAGTTGGTGCTCAATTAGTAGCTATAATCATAATTATTATTTTTATGTGCTAGCAAGAACTTAGAGAATGACTTGAAATATTAATACTGTAGATCTTTTTTTGGTTCAAGGATTGTGACAAGGAAAAATCAATGTGGAGCCAGATACTTGAGTTTAAAACTTAGTTCGGCCCCATGCCAACTGTATAAATTGGGGTGAGTTACATGAGCTTACTGAGCCAAATTCCTTCGTTTGTGAACTGGGTATCAGAATGTCTGCTTTCAGAATCATTAGAGGGATGAAATATGAAATTTCTAACACAATGCCTAGCACAGTATAAATGACCATGACTCATTATTTATTATTTTAATTGTGAAAGGGCCACATGGTAAAAAATTATATAATTAAATGGTAATTCAGAAATATCTATTATAGTTAATAGCAGAAAGTAACTCACATGAAAACTCAGATGTTTAAATATCGAATCTGTCATACGGCTTTAGTCAAATGTTGAAAGTAAATATCTAATATACTCCATAAATATGTATAAATATTATGTGTGTATAAAACTATAATGAAGAAAAAATTAGTATAATCATTTCTAGAGTATTAAAAACACAGAATTATTCTAATCTAGCAATAGCATATTTATCAACTAAAACTTATTGCATACTTACTGTGTGCCAAACACCCTCTGGCTACTGAATATAGAGGGTGGTGAGCAAGACCACTGCCTTGGAATTTACATTCTAGTGTTCTAGCGTGTGGTGAGGAGCAGGCAATAAATGGAAAAATAAATGAAATCATGATAATTTGCCTAGAAGTAAACATGGATTTTGAAATCAAGAATGAATAATGTTCAGGCAGGATTTGAGGGTGGTAGGATGCTATTTTAGAAAAACTTGACTTATAGAGCATTTATGAAGAATTGTATGTAATATGAGAGAACTGAATCATAAGGAAAAGCCAACCACTTAAAAAAATCTTTATGGAAACACATTCTATTCAGAGAGCATAGCTTCTGCAAAGACCCTGAAGCTAATTGGGAAGAGAAAGAAATCTGCCTGAAGGAAGGAAAATGGGATAAAATTACCTCAGATAAGTCTTAGGAGGTGGGCAAATATCTGTTAACAAACGGGTTTTGTTAGAGTATCACAGTTTTTATTCTAAATGGACAAGAAAAACCATTGGAGTATTTCAAAAGACCAAAATAATTTAAAATTTGACTTTGGGGAGGTCACCCCTGAGGAAAACTTTATCAGAATGTGAGAGCTAGAAGGTACTTTGAAACTTGTGTAATTCACACTTCTCTCTCTGCTTATCAGAAAACTGCAATTCCCAGATAGGTCAAATGATTTAGCCATAGTCACAGACTTTATTTGTGGTAGAGCCCACAGGATTGAAGGTATTTTATTCTATTTCATCTCTTTTTTCCTTTCCTTTCCTTTCCTTTCCTTTCCTTTCCTTTCCTTTCCTTTCCTTTCCTTTCCTTTCCTTTCCTTTCCTTTCCTTTCCCTTTCCCTTTCCCTTTCCCTTTCCCTTTCCCTTTCCTTTCCCTTCCCTTTCCCTTTCCCTTTCCCTTTCCCTTTCCCTTTCCCTTTCCCTTTCCCTTTCCCTTTCACTTTCACTTTCACTTTCACTTTCACTTTCCCTTTCCTTTTCCTTTCCTTTCTTTTCCATTGTGTGTCACTCATATGGCCTTTTCTCTTGTATCTCAATTCCTTTCTCACTGCGTCTATTTATATATGGCCACTACCTCAGATCCGTAAGTAGATACTATAGAGTCATTTGTGTTCAGCTGCTCTGATTATCCCTGGGTTCCTTTGGTTCAGTGCCTCTTCTGGCCCTCTTCCCTCTCCCTATGAGCGATTTGCCTATGTCACCAACAACCCAGTCAGATCTCTCTTATTTTCCTGTGCTCTAGAGTAAACTGTCTCAAATTTTTAAAATTTGAAAACCATCCTTGAAATGAGTGTTCCAACAAATTTGTCTACATTGATTGACATGTTTTGATAATTGGTCTAGCTACAAAATTGGTTTAGTATGGGGGTGATAGTAAAAAGAGGTAAACTCTGGAAGCCTCTGGCAACAACCACTGGAAGAGTTGGCAGGAAGATTTCATTTCTTGAGTTTTCAGCCTGCTACTCAAGACAGTTTCTTTAAGGCAACTTCACTACCTGGAGGTTAGCAATAGTACCTTGTCCAGACTTCTACCTGTGCTCATTTGATAGCTAATTTTTCTTTATTGTCAGAAGATACTAACAGACCTATTTTGACATCTCTCCCTGATACTCAAAGAAGAAATAGAGACCCCCCCTTCTGTTTATGTTCTTTCCTGTGTTTTACCTGAAAATGGAAGTGCTGTTTTAATAACTTATTTTTCCCCTGAAAAGGAAAGTTTTTTTGACATAAAAGAACCCAGGGTACAGTTTGATAAACAACCTCTGACTTTAAAACTTTTATGGAGATCAGCAATCACTATATGGTAAAACTTTATACTAAAACCCTTTGAAAAACACTCTGGAAAGTTATTAACTGGTTTTATTTTTTTTTAATTTTTACTCTATTATAACTCTAGTACTAGTGCTTACCAGAACTTACACATAAAGTGAGAATAGTAAATACACAAATAAATTTGTATAATCACTACAGCAGTGATTCCTGCATCTGAATGGACATCAGAATCACCTGGAAGTCTTGTTTAATACACAGAGTGCTGGGCCCTGACCCCAGAATTTCTGATTCAGTGAGTCTTGGGTGAGGCCTGTAGTTTTTCATTTTTAACAAGTTTGAGTTTGATACCAAAGAACAAGTTGCAGAGTGATTCCAAGGGTGCTCACTTTAAGAAGCACGGGTGTGAAATCCTAGCAATGAAAGATGGCAGAGCATATCATAGTTAGATTCATGGAAAGAAACAAGAGCCACCGTTTTTATGAGGATTTGTATAGAAACTGTACCAGTCATTTAGCTTTCTACCTTTTCTCCTAGTAGAGAAATTCATCATCATCTTCTTTCCTCATATGTACCTGGATTAATAAATTTTGCTGTTTGTTCTTCGAACCTTTCCCAAGATCTGAGCCTCTTATTAAACCAAGAATATATGAAGTCTAAAAACCATGGAAAGAAGTGTTCTTCATTCTACATTTTTATATAGTTGCTTGGGTTATTTATAATGAGCATAAATTGTAATTTTATTCATTAGACTGACTACAGCATGCTCCTTCTTCAGCTCATGGAACATTTGAGACCCGCTTAACAGAAACTATGAGAAAGAGAGGATATAACTCTGAGGATGATTTCCTTAAACTCTCTGAACCTCAGTTTTCTAATGTCCAATATAGAGGTAACAAAACACATCCGAGAAGGTTTGGGTAAAGATCTAATGAGGTAGCACTTATGACATGGCTGGCACAGAACACAGTAGCACATATTAAATGATGAATGGTAATCAAACTTGTTGATTATACTATAATTACTAAAGTCAAAATGCAATTTGTGTAAAAACAATCTCTATGCTCAGTGATGCCAAAAAGCTGATTTATTTAGAATATTGAACTAAAGATTTCAATCAATTAAAATCGGTGAAGTTAAGCATTCTATAGACAAAACAATTTGCATTTTCTGACATAATGCATACTTTTAAGGAATTGTGGGACTAAATCCAAAGGAGTAGGGTGATTATGCTGACACATACAAAGGCATTTTATAGCTGACCTTATCCATATCCTGCCAATAAGCCCTTACCTTAACCACCGCATTGTATGCAGGCCCAACTTCTACATTATAGAACCTGAGTTCCTTTACTTGAGGGCTTTCTGTGGCCACTGAATCCCACTTTTGCACTTGTGTGGTAGGCTTGCAAGTACTGGGAAATTAACATTTCCCCAACAGCCTTTAACAATTAGGGAAGATGATACAGAAATAATACCCCAATTTCTTCACCCCTGAATGGGATAACCCGCAGGCATATATTTCTCAGGGCTTTCTAACAGGATTAAACTCTAGTCATTAACAGTGTTTGCTGGGATTAATAAGTATGCCCATATGGATGTCTCTTCCCTTTCTTGTCTCAATTCCCCATTCAGCTACCAGAATTTCTTTTACATGGCACACATAAATAAACTACTTATATTTGAAAGCTAATGTCAGGTTTGACCCCTGGAGGAACACAGACTAAAGATACAGTGTGTATGTGTGTGTGTTTCTAAAATACATGTACGCATTTGAAGTTAAGGAGTGTAAATGTCTCCCAACCGAAGACCACCACCAACTCTCTTGTAGCTGAACAAGTTGGGTTCATTATTTTTTGCAATGAGGGAGAATACACAACATGGAGGCCAGGGGGTGCGTGTGGATGAAAAAAAAAAAAAACATTGTAGGATTTGTGCTTGTGTTAGGGGATTTGAGGGAGGGTTTAAAAGCTTTACTTTGGATTGCTTGTCATTAGTGTGTAGGGATAGCTATATGGGTATCGTATCTTGTCCAGAAGGAGAGAAGACCAGAATGAGGCTAAAGTTGCAATTAATAAAGAAACGGCGTTCGTTCATATTAACCAGGATAGGAGAGTGTTGGGCGTTTTGTGGTTTGGGTAATGTTGATGTTTTTGTCTGGATTCAGACATGATTATGGAATGATCTTGTCATGGTCTTGATCCATTATGGAAACAAAGTGGCCTTTTCCAATGTTGAAATTCTGTGAAACAGTTTATTTTCCACTTGAGAAGACCAAGGCATAGCTGGGTGTCAGGCCAGCTTCTGATATCAGCAGCTCCTTTTTTGGTTTCTCTTTCTCTCATGTGTTTTCAATTCTCGAACGAAACTTTCTTTTATCAAAATATGTTCCTAAATATAGCATCAAGGGGACCTTTCTATGTTAAGTATCCTTTAACTTAAATAATGATATTTGTGATGGTTTCAATATTATTCATCCAAGTAATTTATAAGTGATTTCAATTCTAGACTGCCAAATATTTTTTAACCTAGTTAATATTGAAATATTTGTTTCTTGCCTTTTCCAAACAATTGTATTTATATCAATGTGTATATATTTGACCACAAATCCATACCTCCATGCAGACTACTTTTCAGTCTATTCTTGTTACAGATCTGTTGTATTCTTATAATAAATTATTTCTTTAACTTTCCAATTTCAACTAAACTTAAATTTATGGAAGAGACTGGAGTTCATATTAGATTTATTTTTGTAATTCTCATTCTAACTGGGATGTTGTGAGAAAGAAATTATATGATTCATAGAAATGCATTTTGGATGTAAAGTTATTTTCATGCTATTAAGAGAGCATTCTTTATTTTTCAGAGAGCTAAAGAAGAGGCCCAACAAAAAGAAGCGAAAGTGAAACTCCTTACTGAGTCTGTAAATAGTGTCATAGCTCAAGCTCCACCTGTAGCACAAGAGGCCTTAAAAAAGGAACTTGAAACTCTAACCACCAACTACCAGTGGCTCTGCACTAGGCTGAATGGGAAATGCAAGACTTTGGAAGTCAGTTGCTTTTCTTGGTCTTTGTCAATGATATGTCAATACATGGTCATATGTGAGGCATAGTGGTTAAGAACATGGATACCAGTGCAAAACAACTTTGGCTTGAATTCCTCATTCAGGCACTTATAAGTTGTATGACTTTGGGCCATTTGCTTAACTTGTGTAAACCTGTTTTCAATCTGTCAACTAGACATAATACATAATTCATAAGTTGTTGAGAAAATTAAATGAGCTATTCTCTTTAAACTACTTAGCCTAGTACTCAATATATGTGAGTAGCTATGCTTCTAATTCTCATTACTATTATTAGGTCATAAAATCCTATAAATTTTCTCCAGATTTATAGACAATGATCTTTATTTTTTCTTATTTTTGTATGTACATAAACTTATTTAAGTATCTTTGGGGAAAAGCATTCTGTAGAGAAGTATGTTTTTACTACAATTGTCTTTAGTAATTGCCGTGCCCCATAGAGTTCTTTGTTAGACATGTTACCTAACCAGCTCTATATTTTTTGATGGTTTGCATTATATTTATGTATTATCACAACTTCTGCTTTAACTTTTATGGATGGGCCTTACTGTCTAGATTATGCTTATCTGAATTTAGATAAAGAAAGCAGGTGCCTCAAATGATGGCCATGTAATTGCATCAAAAATAAGCTATGACCTTTCTTATGAAAATACTGTGCCAAGGGGCACAAAACTTTATCCACTACAAATGCTGATGCTGCCAGACATTGCACATGAGTTGGACTTTAAGCCCCCTTCCCTCACACAGACTGAGTTATTTTGGTGAATATGGTTAATAAAGTGTTCAGGTACCTCTTTACTTTTGAAAAACATTATTTAGTTTGCTTCCTATGTTGAGGGTTTGATATTTAAAGAAAGATACGATTCAGATCAATAATAAAGTACACCTTTAAAAATATTTTAAAATGTATTTGTAGCTAAAGTACCCCATATATTCCCAATACAGTATTATCATTTTCCAATTGTAAAATGTGATCCGAGTTTCTCCATTATCAGTTCTAAGCTCTTCTTTACTCATCCTTATTCTTTTCTTTTAAATGCAATTCACTCCTCAGACTCTTGAAAAGTGCCTTCTATATGTCAGGAAATATTACAGTTTCTGAGGATATAATGACGTATCTTATGTATCAGTGTTATGTGAGTGCTATATAAAATATAACAAAGAATGGGAAGGGAAGGGATCTGATGGCACTGTACATGTCTCAAGAAAACCACAATTAATTCACTAACATGTTACAATAGGGAGGGACTTTTTGTACCCAGGAAATGCTTTCTGACAATGTTTAAATAAAACACCTACTATTACTTTCTTATGTTCTTAATGTCCTTAAATAAGCATCATTGTTCCCTATTATTCATGTTGTTCATTTAAATGATACTCCGTGATTCATTAGAAATTTATATTGGAGTACATTTTCCGAAGGGATTTTCTTAAGTTTTCGTATTAATAACAAACTTTTCAAGACCAATTATTGGATTATTTTTCCATTTCCTTCTCATGTATAATAACATTTCTAACATTCCCTATTCATATTGAAGTTATCAAATTATTGAGTTCCATTTTAGTCCTTTTTCACTGGTTTGGAATATGTACTTTATTTTATCTTATAAATATTTCTCTATACCTCTCTAACAATAATATGGTGGAAACATTAGCATAGTTTAACTCTGAACCTACCTCTTCCGTTTTCCGCGTTATTGTTGCCTCATATTTCATTTTCACCTTATTTCCCCCAAATTAGTCCATATAATTGCTGTTGCTGCTGCTGTTGTTTTAACTATTTCATATAATATTTATTTAGATTTACCGATGCTATTTTCCCAGTTTTTGTGATCAGTTTTGCCTTTTGTTCTTCCCTTTGCTTCTGTGTTCAGTTTCTTTCTTGCTCTTTCCTTGAGTGTGAGTAGCAAATGTGTTCAGATTTTACATATTGAAAATGCCTTTATTTTGCCCTGAGTATTGGATAATGATGCAGTTGAGCAGGAAATTATGTAAGGACAGGTTTTTTTTTTTCCTACAACACTGAAAATATTATTTGTCTTTTGAAATTTTTTGCCTTTAGGAAATCTGCTGTCAAGTTATTGTTTCTTTATCATTTTCTCTGGTACCTTTAAATTTTCTCTTCGTCCTGTCTGCTCTGCAGTTTCACCCTATTTTGTCTTCTACAGTTTCACTCAACTTTGTCTGTGTGTAAATTTGCTTTCATTTATACTTTGTCACCTGGTGTGTTAATTAGAACAGATACGTTATTTCTTTAGTGGTTCTGCATTGTCTTTGTGAAGATTTTCTTTTTCCCAATCTCTTCATTCCTTCCTAAGGGAAAACTTTCTTAGAGCTATTAAGACTATCCCCTTCTTATATTCCAGTTACTGGTTTCCCTTTAATATTTTCTATATTCTTATCTCTATCTGCTCAATTTTGGATACTTTTCTAAAATCTGTCTTCCAACTCTCAAATTCTCGCTTCAGCTGCCTGTGGCGTAATTTATCCTTCAATAGAGAAATAGTCTCATCTTTGTCTGTATATATATTTATCTCTCTACATTTATGTATGTGTGTTTATATTTTTTCAAAAAACATATTTTCCATTTCTCAATATTTTATTGAGTTGTTTCACAAATCTGTTCTTTGTTATGGTTTTCTTCTTTTTTGTGATTAATTCTATGTATTCCTTTAAACAACTTAAACAGATACCATCTGTTTGACTGAAATGTTTCAACTTAATGAGTAATAAACATGACACCGTCTTATTTTTCCAATAACTACACCCAACTCTGTCAAATTTCACCTTCTGCCTGGTAGTTGGCTTCTTTAACAATATTTCTCTGGGATCTCATTACTTTTTATTCACTTTTAGTTATTAAAATGTACTCTAATTTAAATTTAAATATCATAACTTAATCAAATATTTCACAAGTTTAGATTAATCTGTTGCTTCAGCAATTTATACAGACGCAGGAGTGAGAATAAATGGTCTCACAGTCTCCTCCTCCATCCCAGTTTCTGGATACAGATCTACTGTCGATATAAGGGAGGGTGAAGAGGGAAAAATACTCTCTTCATGTGAAAGTCCTTTTTTTGCTGCTCACAACTGCTGTTCCCTTTTGTTAAAACCCACACACATCTATAATGCCTAGTCTGTTGTCCCTCTTCTATATATTATCACCACTGACCTGGCTCGTTCTCTATAGACTTGATTCGCTCTGTTGAGGATCCAGATTGGCCTTATTCATATGAGCTTTGAACCCCCCAAAAAAGATCTCCTAGGCTTTTATAGTACCTCGTAGTGTTTAACAAGAATTTCAAGCTGACGCTTGTCAACAGCTTTACACAAACTGCTCTTGAATATTATGTCTTTTTAACCAATGCTTTAGTGATGCCCTGGAGTCTAATTTACCTACCATATCTCAACTCAGAGCCTATGGGCACTGGAAGTACCTATACTCCGTACCTTTCAGGAATGAGAAGTTTGAAAGAGTTGTTTTTGATTCCTTCTTGGCCATACCAACAGCTCAACAGGAAATGAATACCAACCACCCCTTCCTGAATATATCCACCCAGTAGATGAGTGGTTTTGTTTTAGATCCTGTAAATAAAATGATTCAGATGAGTTTACCCTACCTATCCCCATAAAAGGGTGAGAAAGAAGAATTGCCTAACTATTCAAACTCTCTTCACCTCACTCCCCTCAAGTCTCCGTCAGCTCTCTCTGTTTAAACCAGGGCTTGTGAAAACAAGAAAGAGATGATCTCCCAAAATGAAATGTAGGCAACCAAGCCCTTTTTCTTAGGTGTGAATTCCACTTGCCAGTCTCAAGCAAATAAACTCTATGGGAAACATACACCATGAGGCTAGGCATATTTATTGTACAGTTCTCCAAAATTGTTCTATTATCTTTATGTCATAAGGTATGGATTCTACCATTTGTTACAACTAATGACTCCCTCTAATGGAAGTGAATTTCCCCATGTGGCTAGTAAGGTTTTTGTTTGTTTATTTGTTTATTTGCGAGCTCATCTATAATAGGAATTGCCTTTACTGGAATTTTTGTCTTTTTTTTTCTCTGGGCTATTGAGTTTTTGTATTGTTGCCATCAGGATTGTAGAGATTTTATGCTCTGCCCTCATGTGTGATACAAGCTTAAGTTTCCGTTTGTTATGGGTGGATCTTTATTTTTCAGCCCAAAATCCCCCAACAATAGTTTCCTTGCTAAATCATAATATTCCAATGGCTAGGGATGTTCTACTTCTTCCTTACAGGGTGGATGGCACACTGCTTCATTCTTTCCCATTTCCCTGGCTTGCCTCATTTCCCATCTCAAGTTAGTGTTAAATGCCCCAGCTTTGATGTCGTATACCCTGTTCTGATACGCCAGTATTTTTATAAGCTTGATTTTCCACTTTCTACTTTCATTTCCCTCTTTTTCTTTCTCACACCTGAGGTTCTATATACATGTTTTACAGATCAGCTATGAATTAAAAATGTTTCCTTTGTATTTTAACATGTATTTTGGTATAACTGAAGCAGGATATGTTGGGAGTTACCTCATCAGCTCCATCTACTATTTTGAACAGAAGTTTAGTTTTTTATTTGTACTTTCCTTCAAAGCCACTTTGGATTCTGTGATTTCAAAGTAATTTTAAGATCCAAACTGTTAAGCTTAACAGTTATTCTAAGTGGCTTTTAGCTCCAATTCGGGCTTCAAGACTATATTTTATTTTGCAAAGGTGACCTGTAAAGCTGGTACATTCAGCCTCTCCAGCTGTGTCCTTCAGATGCATTGAGGACAGAAGAAGCTATCCATTCTGACAGTTAAATCAGCAAGGTAGTTCATTACCTCAATCTGCACCAAAGTTAATAAGACACATTACCAATCACGTCTCCTTGTCTTCAAAGCTCTAAGGTACCCTCGGGTATTTAAGAAGATATTTATATTTTCCCACTGGGATCTTTGCCCAGAATGAAGACAGCCTGTAGTCCAGCAGGAGCTGGAAATGACCCAGATTTTAGATTTCTATCACCTTTTAAAGCAAAACACTTAATTTCACTTTTTGCAATAAACTGTACATAAGATATCAAGCAGGTATGAAAGGTTGGTACGTTTGCCAAGCAGGTGAGACTGATACTTTTCATCAGATAGAGATCGAATACTCTGTGTCATTCTAAGGGCTATGAACATAGAGAACTTTGGGAAATCTGATTAATTTTTTAGATCCTTCTGAAATAAATCTTCCTTTCAAGCCTTTAATTTTGGTGGTAGTGAGGCGGGGGCAGGTGGTAGTAAGTGGTGATGATTGCTGCATTGTGTTTACTGTACTTATAGGTTCATTCAACAGTTACAAAGCTAACAGAAAATGACCGTTGTTACATTCTTATCCTCTCTCGCATCTTCCTATCTTTTCCCCAATAGACATAATCACCATCTAGAAAGCTACCTTTGTTATTCCTTTGTTTAAAAAAAATCCACACACATATGAGTGAAAAAACAATTGTGCTTAATTTCAGTATTACAGTAATGGTAAACTATAATATAGTTTTTTTAGGGCTTTGTCTTTCACCCAACATATTTGTGTCTGAGATTCATTCTTATGGTTCTTTTTGATGAGATTTTTCATTGTCACGTCTGTATTCTCTGTTTAAAGATGACGGTATATTTTTCCATTCTCCTTGCAGTGGACATTATTTCCTTTTTTTTGATTACTACAAAAAGGGCTGAAATGATCATTGTTGTAACAGTCTTGTTATCCATGTTAAACAGTTTCTCTGAGGATGCACATATCAAAAAGTGGAGTTGTTGTCTTGATGGGTATGTGAATGTTCACCTTATTGAGAATAACAAATTGTTTTCTGAAATGGCCATTTCAGTACACACACCCACCAACAATAAATACAAATTTTTGTTCATGTATATCTTCTCTCACACGTGGAATTGTCAAACTTCTCATTTGTGTCAATCAACATGGTATCTCATTGTAATCCTGGCCTACATGTCCTTGATTACTAATGAGATTGAACATATCTTCATGTTTAATGTATATACATATTTCTCTTTAAGATTTTGGTTCAGGTTTTCTTTTCATTATCGATTGGGTTATTCATCTTCTATTTGACTTGCTGGCATTTTTCATATTCTTATGTGTTACAGATGTTGCAGTTGTTTTCTTCTATTTTGAGTCTGTTTTTCAATTACTTGATGGTGTCCTTTGATGAATAGAAGGTCCTAATTTTAATGTAGTCGAATGTATTCATCTCTTTTTTCTTACGGTCAGTTTTTTACGAGATGTCTTACTTAAGATATTCTTCTCTATGCCAAAGTCAGAAATATTTTCTTCTATATTTTCTTGTAGAAATTTTAAAGTTCTGCTTTTTTATGAGTACTTCTGTGTATAAATCAGTTTCATAATACAAATTAATGGCCATTTAAAATAATCAAACCTTTGAATTAGTGGTAATATTTCCGATAATATACCTCAAGGAAATAATAAGAATGTGGAAAAATAGTCCATATTCACGATGATGTTTACCATAAATTTATAATAGCAAACAAAACTAAAAGTAGTCTATCTAAAAAAAGGAAATTGCTAAACTAAGATAGAGCCACTTTAAAGAAGTCTTAGATTTTCATTAAAAATATGTCTTCTTAGTAATACAGAAAATGGTATGATATAATGTTTAGTGAAAAGAGAGCTATAGTTAAACTCACTTAAATTTTAACTATCAAATTATATATGATAAATTTCAGAGGAGGTCACAGAATACTGGTAACAGTGATGTGTGAGGGAGTTAGATTTACATATGCATTTTTACATATGCTTTTATTTTTCTGTTTCCCAGACTGCAATGTTGGTGCTTATTTTTATTTTAAAAAGTAAATTACTGTCTTTTGAATTTATTCATTATTCATGTAATAAAATGTTTTCTTAATGACTTTTGATTGTAGAGGTATTAGATGATGAAACTGTCTAGCTGCATTTTGAATTACCTGCTACAAAGTAAAGGTGAAAAATACAAAGTGTTATATTTTCAGAAGTTTTAATAATGAAATGGCAAAATTTCACATTTACTTTTCTACCATAATATTTAATCTGTGATATATATTTCTTTCTTAGGAAGTTTGGGCATGTTGGCATGAGTTATTGTCATACTTGGAGAAAGCAAACAAGTGGCTAAATGAAGTAGAATTTAAACTTAAAACCACTGAAAACATTCCTGGCGGAGCTGAGGAAATCTCTGAGGTGCTAGATGTAAGTTGTAAATTAAGCCAAATGATGATAATTTATATGCAGTATTAAAAGAGGTCAAGTACCAAATAGAAGACAAATCCAAAGAAAACAACCCAAGAGAGTATAATTACTATGTTATCACTCAGCACTGGTACTTTGGATAAAGCCTTTGTTCCCCCTAATAACCTTCTAGGTCACAAGATTTTGCAAAGGGTTTAAATGGCTTCTCACAGAGGAAATTTGCCTTTATTATATCACTAAGTTCTACATAGATGCTTCACCTAATTAAATGTACCACAAACCTGCAAAGACAGTGTGAATAAACAAACTCACTGCTTTAGGGCTAATCGGGATGATAATATGAAATATTATTTCCAGTTTAAAAGCTGCACGTATTGAATTGGAACCTATTTTATACTTACTTAAAATCACAAATTTACACCTTACGGAATGTTTTGAGTTATTAAATGGATATGCTTTAATATTGGAAATATATCTTTAAAGTATTCATAAAATGTAAGTACATTTTTAAGTTTTACTTTGGAGACTTTCAATAATTAAATGAGTTTGCATTTATAAACTTGACTTTAACTTCTGACATTTAATCATTCAAGCTCTATGCATTTTAGTGTACTTTTGACTTATCTATATGTAATGAATATGTTGTTTTAGAATATGTAATATATGTACGTAAAGCTATAAGTAGTATAGCCCCTCTGTAAATCTATAAAATAAGGAGCATAAATTATTCAAGATGTGAAGAAAATGTAAGGTATTTCTTTAGACAGAATAGAATTTGTAATCCTAGAACATCAGAGTAGACACCTATAGATCATTTTATCCAACTTCCTAATTTTCAAAAGGAAATTATAAAACCTGAAAAGATATTAAAGTACAATGAAGTAGATCTCCAGTGGACTTTAATTTTGGCTCTATCTGACTATGACTATAAATTTGTCGTATTCAGAGAAGTTAATTGACCAAACATTTCTTGTGAATCAGCAATGTGTTACATGTTCTAGAAAAGTTGCAGCAAATTTACAGCACATTAATAAAAGGACAGTGGCCAGAACAGAAGATAGGATGATGCTGTTAGCCTATGAAATTGTCAAATCGTACATGGAGCACCATGCTAAATTCTTGCTCTCACAGTTTCAGTGATGTGCTGAAAAACTAGGGCATGTTCACAAAGGAATGTTAAGGAAAGAGAGAAAATTTGAAGCCATAATGAAGAGCATTTAGAAAAGATGGGGAAACAAAACTTACCATTACTATTTACTATTTTAGACGAGGCCCTCACAATGCCCACAACACAGACAAGCAGGGAGGAGGAAAATTGCGAGTGCTCTTATCTTTTATTTCTATGTTGTGGTCATAATTTCAAATTGTTCCTAATTCAGATAATGGAGCCAATAAATGAAATTCCACAGTGAAAAAATAAATAAATACATACATAAAATTGGCTCTTTGGTAGTGTTGCTGATGCTTATCCAGGAGGACATTTTGAGTGAAAAGGGCTAGATCACCACGTATCAAGGATAGAAAAACTGCACGACTTCTAGGTTTTCTTGCAACTCAAGATATTTATAACTGATCCCTTAATTTTGCTTTGTTGCTTTTCATCCACCTTTAAAAAAATTTAACAAGGTATATACTTTGTTAAGACTTATAAAATAATGTATCCATTAAAATTATTTATATCCATTTTGCAAATAAATATTTACAAAATTAAGATTTGTTAGAAGTAATAAGGAATATAAATTATTAGGAAAATTATTAACAATCACATTGTTCTACTCAAAAATTTGATGGCTTTTAAAGTATTTTACAGGTTATAGTGATTTTTTTTAATATAAATGTATTTAGGAAGTCTCTTTATTTTCTTGAAACTTAATAGGACAATGTATTGAGTTTGCTCAAAATTCAAGAAAAATACATAAACAGGAAAAATTACAAATATGTATTGGAAGATTTTCATTTTTTTAAAACAAGGAAAACAGAAGATTTAATAAATTTGTGAGAACATATGCCCATCACTTATTTTATAGATATGTTTGAGGTCCAGTAAGATGAAATTGAATCCCTTGTTTTCTGGCATGCCTATGACACTGAGATTCACTTTCATCATATTATCTAGCCAGGCAACTTTGTCAATTTTGAGCAGTATAGGAGATGGGTATTATTGGGATGTACGTAACAGAGAATCAGACAACGGTTTAAGCTCACAAAATGATCTTTTCTCACCACGAAAAGAATAGTGAAGGGAGGTTACTCAGGGTTGAGGATGGTTCAGCCATATTATGAGGCGAGTAGGCACTCTCTGCTCTCTCTTCCTGAGCATGAAGGACCTCACACTCAAAGTCATTGCCTCCCAGTGCAAAGATGATTGTTATACCTCCAGGCCATGTATGTGCAAAAAAGTAGGAAGGGCAAAAGGATTCTTCTTGAGAGAGTACTCTTTTTCAGAATTGTGTCACGTGGACACCACTAGCTATCAGAGAAGTTGAGAAATTTAGTGTTTTACCTCTTCTGGTTTTAGAGTTAGGGGACGTCAAGGAAAAAGGTGGTTGTGAATCAAGTTTTAAGTTCTCAGTCCGCAACACTGTCATAATCCCATGAAGATTCATATAGAATGACATCCTATTTTTTGAAGCAAAAATGCTCCTTGGTGTTTTTAATCCCAATTAAAATTTGCTTTAAATTGATTATGACTTAATTATATGTAAATCAGAAGATACTGAGCATTTGCTGATAATCCAATGTATTTAGAAAAAAAAGGAGAAATAGTAATTATTGCAAATGTGTTTCAGTCACTTGAAAATTTGATGCGACATTCAGAGGATAACCCAAATCAGATTCGCATATTGGCACAGACCCTAACAGATGGCGGAGTCATGGATGAGCTAATCAATGAGGAACTTGAGACATTTAATTCTCGTTGGAGGGAACTACATGAAGAGGTATGAAGATAAGTGAAAAATCTCTTTAATCTAATTTGC